>NW_003571060.1:440546-622731 GCF_000001405.40 Homo sapiens
GCTGTGGTTGTTTCAGTCACTCCCGCTATGAGTGGTCGGCTCCCAGTGACCCCCTGGACATTGTGATCACAGGTGAGTGTGGCTGGACCATCCGTGGTCTGTTGGTGCCATGGGAGCTTCATGTAATGCGGTTGTTAATCAAACCTCAGTAGAGGAAGAGAAATAAAGGAAGAGAGGGACTGTGAAAAAGTGCTCAGCAAAGGGGTTTAACATGTCTTACTGCTTAAAGAGGCAGGAGGGGTCACTTCTACCCTCCCCAACAAGTAGTCACGTCTAACTCCTTGGGCTTGGGGGTACAGCCAGTTGTTCCCTGCAGTGGGATCCTGTGAGGTTCCTTCTGATCCTCCCGAGATTCTTATATTTTTCAACAAACACAATTGAAAAATAGTAAGACTCATAACCCCGTAGCCCCATGTCAGAGAACTCAAGGCCAGCACTATGTTTTCTGAAGGGTCTCAAAGCACAGAGTAATTCCCATTTTCCAGGAGAACCCCACATCTCATATGGCTTCTAGGGGCGGTAAACCACAGGGACTCAGTCAAAAGCAGAATCAAAGAAATGCAGAGGAAGTAAAAAGACACAGACATAGGCTGACTCAGGACCCTAGAGATGAACATGAGATTGACAGGGGCACCAGCCGACATTCGGAATCTGCTGCCAAGATAAGAACAGCGAGGCTGGGCGCTGTGGCTTACGCCTGTAATCCCAGCACTTTGGGAGGCTGACGTGGGCGGATCACAAGGTCAGGAGTTCGAGACCAGCCTGACCAACATGGTGAAACCCTGTCTCTACTAAAAATACAAAAATTAGCTGGGCATGGTGGTCCGTGCCTCTAATCCCAGCTACTCAGGAGGCTAAGGCAGGAGAATCACTTGAACCCGGGATGCTGAGGTTGCAGTGAGCCGAGATCGTGCTACTGCACTCCAGCCTAGGAGACAAGAGTGAAAATCTGTCTCAAAGGAAAAAAAAAAAAAAAAAAAAAGAGGGAGAGAGATTACTTTGTTCATACACTCAGGCGTGTGTTCTAAAATCAGCCTCTTTTTCTCCTAGGAAAATACAAAAAGCCTTCTCTCTCCACCCAGGTGGACCCCATGATGAGGCTGGGAGAGAAGTTGACCCTCTTCTGCAGCTCTGAAATCTCATTTGACCAGTACCATCTGTTCAGACACGGGGTTGCTCATGGACAGTGGCTCAGTGGAGGGCAGAGACACAGGGAAGCATTCCAGGCCAACTTTTCTGTGGGCCGTGCAACGCCAGTCCCTGGCGGGACCTATAGATGCTATGGTTCCTTCAATGACTCTCCCTATAAGCCCCCAGTGACCCGCTGCAACTTTACACCACAGGTGAGGAGCCCATGCCTGCTGCATGCTCTGGTGCCCACTGGATCACAGAGCCACACGTGAGGGGCGTCCCGCTGGGCACACAGGGGTATTAGGTACTCTGGATAAAATGAAACAGTGACAAACACACACAGGAAAAAAGAAGCTGAGCATGATGGGGCTGTCAGGGTGTAGGGTGGTAAGACGGGGCAGCTCCACACCCTCTGCCACCTTCTGTATGAAGAAAGAGGTCAGGACAAACACAGGGGGAGGTGAGGCCAGATGTAGTTTGTCGAGGTCAGAGGTTGCCCCTCACCCTTTTCCATTTCTCCAAAGCCCCTCCTGACCCCTCAACACAGAGAGATCTCCCTGCTGGGGAACGTGGAGATTTATCATCCCGATGGGAGACAATGTCTGTTGACATCACCCACCATGCTTCTCCTTATCACCTTCCCATCCCAGGGAAGGAATTGTCCCCCAGAGATTCCAAGGAAGAGACCCCAGGGCCCCCATTAGTCTTTAGGTGGATGACAGAGTAGGGGGTGTGCAGGGACCAAGCCTCCAAAGAAAATGGTGCTAATGCTCGGGAGGCTGAGGCAGGAGAATCGCTTGAACCCAGGAGGTGGAGGTTGCAGCGAGACAAGATGGCACCACTGCACTCCAGCCTGGGCGACAGAGCAAGACTCCATCTCAAAAAAAAAAAAAAAAGAAAGAAAGAAAGAAAGAAAGAAAAAGAAAGAAAGAAAGAAAGAAAAGAAAATGGTCCTACTTTAATGGGGCAATCAATGACGCTTGCTCACCCCTTCTCTGCCTTTTTTTTTCCTAGGAAACACTAAGAGTACTCCTCTGTCATTCACAGAATCCACCCCTGAATCTGGTAAGCAAATAACTCTTATCCTAGTGTCTGAGTCCCTGGGGAGACAGAAGGCCCCAGTGTGAGTGAAAGCTGTGCCACCTCCCAGCTCCATGACCCTGGGCTAGGCAGCCCCTCCCAGGTCCCCACATTCCTCATCCACATCTGAGACTGTGGTCAGTGCGGGAATCTGTAAGGCCTTTCAGCCTCAGACGCTTTGGGACTGAGGCCTCATCCACAGGGGAGGAAGAGGTCAGAGTCACCTGACCCTTGCTGAAAAGCAATGCTTCTCATTCCTCCAGGGAGGTCTGTGAACATGAAAATGCTGGAAGATGGGAAGGATTTAAAAGACCATATTCGATATTCACTGTCTGTCTTTTTTTGTTGTTTTTTTTTTTGAGACAGAGTCTCACTCTGTCACCCAGGCTGGAGTGCGGTGGCACAATCTCAGCTCACTGCAACCTCTGCCTCCTGGGTTCAAGCGATTTTCCTGCCTCAGCCTCCCGAGTAGCTGGGATTACAGGTGCCCACCACCACACCCGGCTAATTTTTGTATTTTTAGTAGAGTCAGGGTTTCGCCATGTTGCCCAGGCTGGTGTCAAACTCCTGACCTCAAGTGATCTGTCCGCCTTGGCCTCCCAAAGTGCTGGGATTACAGGTGTGAGCCACCGCACCCAGCCTTATTGTCCATCTTCTAATGTCCTATGACATATTCAACAGTTCCTGTGTTCCAGTGGTGTGTGCAGGGAGGAGAAAAGTTATAATGAATAAACGTGTGAACTGATTTATTCAGATCCATTAATTTTGTATTCATTAAGATAGAGTCATGTGACAGAGAAAGCTTAAGTGGATCCTTTAGAGCAGGTGGAAGGGAAGACTCTATGTCACTCAAGGAACTGACATTTAAGGTGTGATCCTGATGACAAGGACAGCCAGTGTTGGAAGGATTGATGGAAGGACGTTCCCAGCAGGTAAACAGTGGTGCCATAAACTCAACATGGCAGGGCTGGGCGCAGGGCTCACAACTGTAATCCCAGCACTTTGGGAGGCTGAGGCGGGCAGATCACAAGGTCAAGAGATCGAGCTGTTCCTGGTCAACATGGTAAAACCCTGTCTCTACTAAAAATACAAAAATTAGCTGGGCGTAGTGGTGCATGTCTGTGGTCCCAGCTACTCCAGAGGCTGAGGCAGGAGAATTGTTTGAACCCGGGAGGCGGAAGTTGCAGTGAGCCGAGATTATGCCACTGCACTCCAGCTTGGGCGACAGGACGAGACTCCGTCTCAAAAAAAAAAAAAAAATTCAACATGGCAATGCCTTGTGTGTGTTCACAGCACCAGTGAGGCTGACATGTCGGGGGAGAGGGGTGGAGCTGAGAGAGGAGGACAGGGACCAACTTGTGTGAACGTTTCTCGTTTTTAAAATGTTTAATTTTTGTGGGTACCTAGTAGGTGTGTATATTTATCAGGCGCATGAGATGTTTTGATACAGGCATGAAATGTGAAATAAGCACATCATGGAGGTTAAGGCATCCATCCCCTCAAGCATTTATTCTTTGAGTTACAAACAATTTAATTAAGATTTTTTTTTTTTTTTGAGATGGAGTCTTGCTCTGTCACCCAGACTGGAGTGCATTGGCGCGCTTTCCGCTCACTGCAACCTCTGTCTCCTGGGTTCAAGCAGTTCTCCTGCCTCAGCCTCCCAAGTAGCTGGGATTACAGGTGTACGCCACCATGCCTGGCTAACTTTTTGTATTTTAGTAGAGACAGGGTTTCAACATGTTGTCCAGGCTGGTCTCAAACACCTGAGCTCAGGTGATCTGCCCGCCTCAGTCTCCCAAAGTCTTAGGAGTACAGGTGTGAGCCACCATGCCTGGCCCCAATTATGCTTTTTATTTTAAAATGTACAGTAAAGTTCTTATTGACTAGAGCCAGCCTGTTGGTGCTACCAAGTGAGGGTTTCTAAGCAACAGTAAAGAGTTTGGATTTTATTCCAATAAAGAGGTGAAGACAAGTTTTGTTTTGTTTTTTTTTCAGAGTCTTACTCTGTCTCCAGGCTGGAGTGCAGTGGCGTGATCTCGGCTCACTGCAACCTCTGCCTCCCGGGTTCAAGTGATTCTCCTGCCTTAGCCTCCTGAGTAGCTGGGATTATAGGCACCCACCACCATACCCGACTAATTTTTGTATTTTTAGTAGAGACCAAGTTTCACCATGTTGGCCAGGATGGTCTCGATCTCTTGACCTTGTGATCCGCCTGCCTTGGCCTCCCAAAGTGCTGGGATTACAGGTGTGAGCCACTGTGCCCAGCCGTTTTTTTTTTTCTTTTTTTTTGAGACAGAGTCTTGCTCTGTTGCCCAGGCTGAAGTGCAATGGCGTGATCTTGGCTCACTGCAACCTCCGCCTCCTGGGTTCAAGCGATTCTCCTGCCTCAGCCTCCTGAGTAGCTGGGATTACAGGGGGCCCGCCACCAAGCCTGGCTAATTTTTGTATTTTTAGTAGAGACAGGGTTTCACCATGTTGGCCAGGCTGGTCTTGAACTCCTGACTTCAGGTGATCCACCCACCTTGACCTCCCAAAGTGCTGGGATTACACGCATGAGCCACTGTGCCTGGCCGAAGACAAAGGTTTTAGTCAGAAACGTGTCATGATCCACATTCTATTTTAGAGATAGCAATCGGCCGATGTGAATAGTGTTTATTACAGGGAGGCAGGAGTGGAAGCCAGGAGCCTGGTGGGGCTGTGACATCCTTGTAGAGGACACTCATGGCAGCTTAGATGTGCTGGGGCTGGAGAAGGAGTTGAGCAGGTGGATTCAGGAGAGGCTCAGAGCTGGAGTCACTAAGAGGGAGAGTTTGGAAACTTGTTCCAGTATTTCTCAGTGCATGACCTGGGGCACGCTCATTTCTCTCTGAGCCTCTGATTCCATTGATGGCAACTCATACTTGGGCTATCAGAGAAGTAGCAACTCAGCAGGGAGCCTTATGGGGGAACGAGACATAGTCCTTGAAAGAGAAAAGATTATAATCAGACACTTGGGCTCAATGGATGGCTCTGCTAGTTATGGTCACTCATCTTGGAAAGCATCCGTTTTCTTTTCTTTTCTTTTTTCTTTTGTTTTCTTCTTTTTGTTTGAGCCAGAGTCTCTCTGTGTTGCCCAGGCTGGAGTGCAGTGGTATGAAACTGGCTTACTGCAATGTCCCAGTTTCAAGTGATTCTCCTGCCTCAGCCTCCCAAGTAGCTGGGATTACAGGTGTCTGCCACCACGCCCGGCTAATTTTTGTATTTTTAGTAGAGACAGGTTTCACTATGTTGGTCAGGCTGGTTTTGAACTCCTGAACTCCAGTGATCAGCCTGTCTGTGCCTCCCAAAGTGCTGGGATTACAGGCATGAGCCATGGCACCTGGCCAAAGCATCCAAGTTGTTGGATAGAATATTGGGCTAATGATGCCTCCCTCCTTATGGAAAAAAAAAAAGTAGGAAAGAGAAGAAAGAAAAGCTTCCCAAGTTGAATGTCTAGAAGTAGCAGACATGTCTAGAATTGAGCCCAAGAGTACGGCTGGCTACAGTCTTTTCTCTTTCAAGGACTATATCATGGATGAGAGAGTGATGAGATGTGTCCACACATGTGGAAGTCCTCCCACCACCTCTCAGCATGGGTCCTGGTACGGAGGGTATGCTCCTATGTGACATAGCCTGTGCCCCCTCCCCTTTTTCTCTCCTGAATCCTCCACCCACCTGCTCTTACTCATTACTCAGAAAAACACCAACATTGTTTGGAGCAAGTTCAATTCTCAGAAACTGGCATGAGAGTCATCCTCTGGCCACCTCTATCTCCATTCTCAGAAAGTGTATTTGTCCTGGGCTGAGAAGGGACGAGGGAAATGGTATTCAGCTATGGTACATGCAGAGGGTTTCCTTTGTCATGCAAAAACAAACTGTCTTGTCTCATGAGGAAGTGGGAGGGGAGGCACACTGGAGCCTGGTAGGCCTGGGTTCAGACCTCCATGTCTCTCCTTTTTTTTTTCTTTTTTTTTTTTTTTTGAGATGGAGTCTTGCTCTGTCACCCACCCTGTGTACAATCTCGGCTTACTACAACCTCTGCCTCCTGGGTTCAAGCGATTGTCCTGCCTCAGCCTTCTGAGTAGCTGGGATCACAGGCGTGTACCACTACGCCTGGCTAATTTTTGTGTTTTTAGTGGAGACGGAGTTTTGCCATGTAGGCCAGGCTGGTCTCTAACTCCTGACCTCAGGTGATCTGCCCACCTCTGCCTCCCAAAGTGCTGGGATTACAGGTGTGAACCACCACACCAGGCCTCTGCATCTCTCTTACTGGCCATTTGATTTGGACACGTGTCTTCACTTCTCTTGGAATTTTTTGTGTAAGTGATGGAAAATGGAGAAAGTAACTGTTCGGGTGTAGGGATCTTGGAAGAGCTTCAGATAAAGCATGTTGTGTGTTCAGTATGTATTGGCACAAAACAGGCAACCAGTCAATGAGAGGGTTTATCATTTGCTTCTTGACAGACACACCTCGCCCTCAAGGACAGTCCAGCAACCTGCATATGCTCACTGGACTCTCAGTAGCCATCATCTCCATTGGCGTTTGCCTCTCTGCTTTTATTGGTTTCTGGTGTTACATAAAATATCGTAAGTCTCAGGGAGGGGAGGACAGTATCATGTGAGCCCCGTGGGGATGTGACTGGGGCACGGGGGTGCTATTCACGTCCTGTGGGTTGATCTGTGTTTCCGCTGAGGTTCTTTTTTTTTTTTTGAGATGGAGGCTTGCTCTGTCACCCAGGCTGGAGTGCAGTGGCGCAATCTCGGCTCACTGCAAGCTCTGCCTCCCGGGCTCACGCCATTCTTCCACCTCAGCCTCCCGATTAGCTGGGACTACAGGTGCCCACCACCATGCCCGGCTAATTTTTTGTATTTTTAGTAGAGATGGAATTTCACCATGTTAGCCAGGATGGTCTTTATCTCCTGACCTCATGATCCGCCCGCCTCGGCCTCCCAAAGTGCTGGGATTACAGGCGTGAGCCAGTGTGCCCGGCCTCCGTTGAGGTTCTTGATGGAGAAACCCTGCTCCTTCCCTTCACTGACCAATCACCCCAACCCCTCCCCTACCTCCACCTCACCTCTGGGGAGGCCACTGACCTGCAGGAGATGGTCCATGAGAGAGGCAGAAGGATGGGGGCCATCTATCGGAGCGGTCCTGGGGCAGTCAAGATTGCCCCAAGGTTGCTGATGGGTGGTTCTCTGAATTTAGTGGGGGAGGCTGGATCACGCTGCAGCCTCAGGCACGCCCTTGCCTTGTTTTGGTCTTGGTATTGCCACCTCTGAAGTGAAGATCTGGAAGACTTTCTTTTTCACCCCACAGACACCACCATGGCAAACACAGAGCCCACGGAAGGCCAACGGACGGATGAAGAGGTGAGTTCTCCCAGCCGAAACCATCACCACAGCTTCATCCCCTCCCATTCCCAGTGCCCCTGCCTTCAGCCACTAAATATGCTCCTCTTTTCACCTTCATCCTCTCAGGAGCCTGCAGCAGAAGAGACACAGGAGATCATATATGCCCAGTTAAACCACCAGGCCCTCTCACAGACAGGATTCCCTCCTGCCTCCCAGTGTCCCCACTACCTCTCGAAGGATCCTAGTATCTACATCACTGTCCACCAAGCCCAGGCTGAGGCCAGAGCTGCCCCCAGTCTTTGGCACAAAGGGCATTAATACGCAAGGACCTGGATCTATTCCTAGGAGGATTTTTTTTCCACGGACATTCTTCCTCCTTCTGGTACCATCTTGACACCTCGAAGCTGGCAACAGCAGTGTCTGAATGCTTGTGGGATTATCTTAAAATTCCAGCACTGCTGAACAGACAACTAGCCATTCTACAATTCTATTTTGAGCATCCAACCATTTAAGGTGATTTGACTCTACCCACACACTCATCCTGGATATCTCATTAATATCATCTGAGTTATCCTGAAACTCTACAGACATGCTTCTGGAAAGCCGATGTATATGCTCAGCCAGTTTAATCTCTAAATTACTCAATAAGGTTTTTTTAAAAAAATTTTTTTAAAGTTCTGGGGTACATGCTCAGGATGTGCAGGTTTGTTACGTAGGTAAACGTGTGCCATGGTGGTTTGCTGCACCTATCAAACCGTCACCTAGGTATTAAGCCCAGCAGGCATTAGCTCTCTTCCCTAATGCTCTCCATACCCCCTGCCCTCCTCTGACAGGCCCCAGTGAATGTGTTCCCCTCCCTGTGTCCATGTGTTCTCATTGTTCAGCTCCCACTTATAAGTGAAAACATGCGGTGTCTGGTTTTCTGTTCCTGCATTAGTTTGCTGAGGATAATGTCTTCTAGCTTCATTCATGTCTCTGCAAATGATATGATCTCATTCCTTTTTATGACTGCGTAGTATTCCGTGGTGTATATGTACAACTTTATTTTTATCCAGTCTATCATTGATGGGCATTTGGGTTGATTCCACGTCTTTGCTGTTACTCAACAAAATTTTGCAGAGATGAAGTGTATTCTATATCTGAGTCATCTAATATGGTAGCCACTAGCCAAATATGGCTTTTTAACTTAGAATTAGAATAGATCAAATTCCATGAAGTTTAAAATTCAGTTCCTCAGCCACATGGCCACAATTTGAGTTCTCAGAGCCACGTGTGGCTGCTGGCTGTGGGAGAGAATAGCATGAACACAAAATGTTTTCCTTGTCAGAGGAAGTTCTAGCTGTTCTAGATTAAAGGTGCAAATTTGAAGATGCAGAGCCTATTTTCTCATGCAGTGCAGGCTCCTGGAAGAGACCTAATGTAACAAAACGATAATATTTCACATCAATGGTGACATGTCTTTATCTTACGAAATGCGGGGAACAAGCAGAGTTCTCTTGTGGAGTGTCTTATCACCTCTTATCCTCATGCAAATTTCTGCCATAGAGATTTTCTCCCAAACTTTGAGAAGGTCACCTCTGTCAGGCCTCTGAGCCCAAGCTAAGCCATCCTATCCCCTGTGACCTGCACGTACACATCCAGATGGCCTGAAGCAACTGAAGATTCACAAAAGAAGTGAAAATAGCCTTAACTGATGACATTCCACCACTGTGACTTGTTCCCGCCCCACTAACTGATACCATATATTCTGCCCCGCCCAAGAAGGTACTTTGTAATATTCCTCGCCCCCTTACCCCCCACCGCCCTGCCCCCGCTCGCCCGCCTTAAGAAGGTACTTTGTAATATTCTCCCCCACAACTTTAGAAGGTACTTTGTAATATTCTCCCCAACTTTAGAAGGTACTTTGTAATATTCTCCCCCACAACTTTAGAAGGTACTTTGTAATATTCTCCCCTCCCCTTAAGAAGGTACTTTGTAATATTCTCCCCCACAACTTTAGAAGGTACTTTGTAATATTCTCCCCTCCCCTTAAGAAGGTACTTCGAGGCTGGGTGCGGTGGCTCATGTCTGTAATCCCAGCACTCTGGGGGGCCGAGGTGGGTGGATCATGAGGTCAGGAGATCGAGACCATCCTGGCTAATGTGGTGAAACCCCGTCTCTACTAAAAAAATACAAAACAATTAGCTGGGCATGGTGGCGGGTGCCTGTAGTCCCAGCCACTTGGGAGTCTGAGGCAGGAGAATGGCGTGAACCCAGGAGGCAGAGCTTGCAGTGAGCTGAGATCGCGCCACTGCACTCCAGCCTGGGCGATAGAGCAAGACTCTGTCTCAAAAAAAAAAAAAAAAAAAAAAAAAAAAAGAAGGTACTTTGTAATATTTCTCCCCACTGCCACCCACCCCCCGCCAAGAAGGTACTTTGTAATATCCTCCCCCCAACGCCAGCCCCCTCCACGACCTTAAGAAGGTACTTTGTAATATTCTCCGCGCCCTTGAGAATGTACTTTGTACGCCCATCTCAAACCTATAAGAACTTATGATAATCCCACCACCCTTTGCTGACTCTCTTTTCAGACTCAGCCCACCTGCACCCAGGTGAAATAAACAGCCTTGTTGCTCACACAAAGCCTGTTTGGTGGTCTCTTCACACAGACGCTCATGACAACCTCCTATTTGTACCTTTTCTCGTCCCCTGGTTTCACATGGAGAGAAAGCACACATCCATTCTCCGCACAGAACATGCTCTGGAAGCTGCTTTCTGATGACGTCTTCCTCTGAGCCTTTATTCTGTTTCTTTCTACTTGAATTGGCACCTACCCAGAGCAATTCACAAACTGCTGCCTGCAACGAGCTGTCACTGGCTCATGGAATTGTCACATGCTGTTTCTTCACCTGGTAATTATCTCCCTTTTTTGAGCATCTCAGTGCAGACATCCACCTTCATACACATGTCTTTATCTCATAGGCTAAGTGAGGAGGTTGATTGACTCACAGTGTCTGTGCCCAATAGGCTGAGTTTTTATGGCCTGATCCCCACTGGTCTTTCATGTGTGGACTGTGAGTTTTTTTTGTTGTTGTCGTTGCCAGGCTGGAGTGCAGTGGTGTGACCTCAGCTCACTGCAATCTCTGCCTCCCAGGTTCAAGAGATTCTCTTGCCTCAGCCTCCCGAGTAGCTGGGACTACAGGTGCGTGCCACCACGCACCGCTAATTTTTGCATTTTTAGGAGAGACGGGGTTCCACCATGTTGGCCAGGATGGGACTATGAGATTTTTGAGGCAGGACTGAGTCTGATTAACCTCTGGGACTCAATGCAACCCTCCAAGGATCCTGCCCATAGGAGGAGGTATCAGCAACTCAGGTCTGGTAAGTGATGAGGACACCCAACCCTTCCAGGGAGCAGAGCGTGGAGCAAACATCAGAGATCCTCTGATGTTACCCAGAAGTAGTTTCTCTGTCTCCCTGGGCCAAAGGGAGGATCATGCTTCCTCTACAGTCTGGGATATGTGAGCTAAGAGACAAATGCTGGTTAGTGGATGTGAGGGTGAATGGCAGGCACACTCCCAGCCTGGCTATTTGCATGACGGCCCTACCCTTACTATTGTATATTCTACAGCTAGGTTGGTCCTGCAGCAATCTCGTTTTGATAAGCAGGGTAAAAGTGAAAGACCAAAACGTGTCTTCTCTCTGAGCCTCTGCACACAGGGTGGTTATGCCGCAGAGTCAACTGATGCTAAAGGGAAACTATGCAAGCCAGAAATGATTTTAATTTTGCTTCCACACCATCCTCTCAAAAATAACAGAAAGTGAGCATTTTTTTTTTTTCTGGAGTCTCTCTCTGTCACCCAGGCTGGAGTACAGTGACATGAGCTCAGCTCACTGCAGCCTCCACCTCCCGGGTTCAAGCGATTCTCCTGCCTCAGCCTCTGGAGTAACTGAGATTACAGGCACCCACCACCACACCTGGCTACTTTTTGTATTTTTAGTAGAGACAGGGTTTCACCATGTTGGTCAGGCTGGTCTCAAACTCCTGACCTTGTGATCTGCCTGCCTCGGCCTCCCAAAGTGCTGGGATTACAGGCATGAGCCACTGCACCTGGCCAAAAGTGAGCATTTTAAAAAGTGATTTACAACCAATGATAAATGTGACCTGATAAGATAATTCAAGTATTCCATGTTCCTACACTTCATAGTTAAGTGTAGCTTCAACATTTATCTGGTGGAAAAATGAATCAACCAACTTTCCACACATGAGTGTTTTACTCTTCATTTTCCTTTCTATCAAGAAACATTATGTGCCCTGAGAAATTATAAATTTCATAATTATTTGGGACGAAAATTGTTTGCACTTTTTTTGTGGGGCGGGGGGATGGAGTTTCGCTCTTGTCACCCAGGCTGGAGTGCAATGGTGCGATCTCAGCTCACTGCAAACTCCACCTCCTGGGTTCAAGTGATTCTCCTGCCTCAGTCTCCTGAGTCTATGGGATTACTCATATGTAATCCCATATATGAGTGATATGGGTGCGTATCAGTATGCCCAGCTAATTTTTGTATTTTTAGTAGATATGGGGTTTCACACTGTTGGCCAGGCTGGTCTCGAACTCCTGACCTCGTGATTTGCCCGCCTCGGCCTCCCAAAGTGCTGGGATTACAGGCGTGAGCCACCGTGCCCGGCCTGTTTGCACTTACTCTCCTGGTTTGTCCATTTTTCCATGTTCCTTCATACTTTCTTTTGATTTTATTTTTACTGTATTTACTTTTAGTTTTTGAATACTTCAAATTCTTGACAATCATTTGACAGGTTTAAATTTGAGATAACCAAAAAGTTAATAGTTCTCTCAAAACTCTCACGTTGTACTCTTATTTACTTATTTTACTTTAAGTTCTGGGATATATGTGCAGAACGTGCAGGTTTGTTACATAGGTATACATGTGCCATGGTGGTTTGCTGCACCTATCAACCTGTTATCTAGGTTTAAGCCCCGCATTAGGTATTTGTCCTAATGTTCTCCCTCCCCTTCCCCTACCCCCAGACAGGCCCTGGTGTGTGTTGTTCCCTTCCCTGTGTCCATGTGTTCTCATTGTTCAACTCCCACTGATGAGTGAGAACATGTGGTGTTTGGTTTTCTGTCCCTGTGTTAGTTTGCTGAGAATGATGGCTTCCAGCTTCAATTTTAACTTTTTTTTTTTTTTTTTTTTTTTTTTTTTTTTTTGAGACAGAGTCTTACTCTGTTGCCAGGCTGGAGTGCAGTGGCCCAATCTCAGCTCACTGCAACCTCCACCCCCTGGGTTCAGGCAATTCTCCTGCGTCAGCCTCCTGAGTATCTGGGATTACAGGCACCTGCCACCACACCCGGCTAATTTTTGTATTTTTTTTTTAGTAGAGACGGGGTTTCACCATGTTGGCCAGGCTGGTCTTGAACACCTGACCTTATGATCCACCCGCCTCGGCCTCCCGAAATGCTGGGATTCCAGGCGTGAGCCACCGAGCCCGGCCCAGTCTTAACATTTTTTAAGGCTTAGTCACCTGCATGATACCAACCAGGCTGGTCTCAACTGTGGGGCAACTGGGGTTGTTGAACCACGTGAACTGCAGGTGCTCCCTGCAGAACCCTTGCATAGCCGGCGTCTTTATACCTGTCTGTCCATCCAGGGATGGCGGGGTTGGTGTTTGTCCTCCAGTCGAGGGCACTGACAACCTTGGGGCAGCAGCACCAATCAGCTTCCATCCCATCACGTAAGAGCCACACGTGGAGATCTGGGTGCACACGCATCTCACGTGTTTCCCGGAACAGCCTCAGCGCCTTTCCCCGAGCAGCCCCTTGGACATTCACCTGGCAGAGGAGTCTCTGGTTCTGTTTCTGGACTGTGGACGCGGGCTAGGGCGCATGCTGCAGGTGAATCACTTCTGAGGACAGATGAGTCTCCTGTTCTGCTTCGGGTCACCACGCTGCTCTGTGATCCAGGGAGTCTCTGTCAGCGTCTCTTCTGCTGGATCCAGTCTGGAGTGTCAGGGATTCAGAGCACGACAGAGGTGACCATGGGCAACGTGCACCCGAGCACTTCCCTGCCACAGGGACATGCAGAGCATTTCCCACCCTGAGGAGCGGCCACTCAAGACCATCAGGTCGCAGGTGGAGGACTGTGATGCAGCCGAGCTCCTATCACCACCAGGACTTGTCTCACTGAGCAGAAGCCGGTAACACACCAGGGAAGACGGCCTTGCCCACGGGGTGGCTGTTGACGGAATCTTTCTGTTCTGCGTTCTCTCATCATGGATGTGGGTCCCTTTGATGCCTCTGTCTTCGCTCAGGGCCCCAGGAAGATTCATTCCCCCTAGACTCTCTGCTTCCTGGGAAATGATTACATTCTGAGCTTTGGCGAATTCCCGCAGCACCGCTCCTTGGCTCCCTCACTGCTACCTGGACAGGCAGAAACATTAACATCCCCGGCCAGCACCTAGGCCCCGAAGTGAGGGGATACATGAGCCGTGTGCAGGCTTCCAGTCCCTGGAATGTGTGTAGGGGGTTCACTGTCCACCACAGCTTAAACACAAAATGAACATTTTGACTGGAAAAGGGTAGATAGAAAGAAAAAGACCTAAATGTGGAGCGTAGTCTGGAGCCTTCTATGGGGCAGAACAGCACTCGTGTGCAATAATGCTGCAGTGAGCCACAGCCTCGCCTCTCAGCTGCACAGGACAGATGTGCAGTGGAACGGGAAGTCAGAATGACCATCCCTGCGGCCGTTATGAGGAGCTGTTCCCTAGGTCTCTACAATGAAAGCTCCTGAAAACAGTCAATGTAGATTTGCACGCTGAGAACAGCACCTCCATTCCCAGCTACCCAGAGCCAGGTCCTAATTCTTGCTTATCCACCAACTCAGTAAATATAAGTCACGATGGTTGCTTTTATTTTATGTTGAACTTTTTGTAGTTTACTAGCTTGCATTATTTTTTTTAAAAAAGAAAACGAGTTGATATTTTTAACTTTTAAAAATATCATGATGATGGCCGGGAGTGGTGGCTCACGCCTGTAATCCCAGCACTTTGGGAGGCCAAGGTGGGCAGATCATGAGATTAGGAGATTGAGACCATCCTGGCTAACACAGTGAAACCCCGTCTCTACTAAAAATACAAAAAAATTAGCCGGGCATGGTGGCGGGCACCTGTAGCCCCAGCAACCCGGGAGGCCGAGGCAGAAGAATGGCGTGAACCTGGAAGGCAGAGCTTGCAGTGAGCCGAGATCACGCCACTGCACTCCAGCCTGGGTGACAGAGCGAGACTCCGTCTCAAAAAAAAAAAAAAATATATATATATATATATATATATATAAAATCATGATTTCTCCATTTTTTTCCTTTCCCATTCTCTGACTTAGAATATTTGAGCAACAAAACCATAATTTCCGGTGCAAGAATGACGAAGTTCCTAATTTGAGTCTGCTTAGATACCTGAGCTTAGTCTCAGGCCCACCATGCGCTGTGAACTCATCCCAGGTTACATGATGTGCCTCTTGGCAACTCTGAGTGATGCTAAGTTTCAGGGAAGTGTGCACAGATCTAGGACTTCAGTAATGTTTAATCATCAGAGGCAAATTTGGGAACTTTTTATTTGTTTGTTTGTTTTTTGAGACGGAGTCTCGCTCTATCGCCCAGGCTGGAGTGCAGTGGCGTGATCTGGGCTTACTGCAAGCTCCGCCTCCCGGGTTCACACCATTCTCCCGCCTCAGCCTCCCGAGTAGCTGGGACTACAGGCGCCCGCCACCACGCCCGGCTAATTTTTTGTATTTTTTTAGTAGAGATGGGGTTTCACCGTGTTAGCCAAGATGGTCTCAATCTCCTGACCTCATGATCCGCCCGCCTCGGCCTCCCAAAGTGCTGGGATCACAGGCGTGAGCCACCAGATTTGGGAACATTTTGTAATGGCAGTGTGTCCTCAAATACCTTGCTTACAGTGAGTTATATTTTTAGAAATTACAGTGCCCATTACACACACACAGCTGTTCCTTCTCTGTACTCACGGGAAACCCACAGAGACCCCTCCACAAACACCTCCGTATCTGCATGAAAGTGTAAAACCACATGAAAGCCGAGCTTGCTATTTACTAGTTGTGCATAGGGTTGTTTGTGTGCGTGTGTGTGTGTGTGTGTGTCTTCTAGATACAGTCAGGTTCAACGGCATTATGCTAAATACTTGCCGCTCTAATGAATAATCATCCTCTTGGGGTTTCTCCAGGTCATTTGAATATGGAGACCCACTTCTCCAGTATCTCTCCTAAGAATAACCTTTCAACAGGTTCTTAACATCGTCAGCAAAAATATTTTCAACAAATGTTCCCAAAAGCACCTTAGACTCTGAAGACCTAAAAAAGATATAATACATTCTTTCAGAGCTGTTGGGGAGATCCTCAGCAAACCTACATTATACCATAAACGGTCTCAAAAATAGCTCATTTTCCCATAAGCCATGAGAGATAATGAGATGGGAAGTCCGGAGGAGGGTCTGAGGTGTCTGTGAGGAGCCGCCTCCTCCAGTTTCAGGTCATTGTTCCCTCCATGTGTGTCTAGGAAGCCCTCCCTCCTGACCCCCAAGGACCCTGCGTGGACTGACCCTCCAGTGCAGCTCTGATGTCGGCTACCACAGATTCGCTGTGTACTAGGAGGGGGCACGTGACTTCCTCCAGCGCCCTGGCCAGCAGCCCGAGGCTGGGCTCTCCCAGGCCAACTTCCCCCTGGGCCCTGTGAGCCGCTCCCAAGGGGGCCAATACAGATGCTACGTATGGTGCACACAACCTCTCCTCCGAGTGCTCGGCCCCCAGGGACCCCCTGGACATCCTGATCGCAGGTTGGAGCCCAGTGGGTTCAGACAAGTTCCAAAATTCTGTGCAGAGCTGCGTGTGCGTTTGTAGGGGTGTTTCTGTGTGTGCTTGTGTGTGTGTGTTTGTATGTGTTTGGGTGTGTATATGTATGCATGTTTGTATTTTTGTGTCTGTGTAGATTTGTGTGTTTTTGTCTGTACGTGTTTGAATTTGTGTGTTTTTGTTTCTCTCTCTGTAGTTGCATTTGCATGCATCTGTGTGTATGTGGGGAGGTGTGTGTGTGTGTGTAGGTGTGTGTGTGTGAGTTTGAGTGTGTTTCTGTGTGGGTTTATTTGTATGTGTATGAGTGTGTGTGAGTATATGTATGTGTGTGTGTGTTGTGTGTGCGTGTGTGTATGTGAGTGTGTGAGATTGTATGTGTGTGCATGTTGTGTGTGTCTGAGATTGTGTGTGCGTGTGTGCATGTGAGATTGTATGAGTGTTTGCATGTTGTGTGCGTGTGTGTGAGATTGTGTGTGAGTGTGCATGTGTGTGAGTGTGTGAGATTGTATGAGTGTGTGCATGTTGTATGTGCATGTGTATGTGTGTGTATGTGAGTGTGTGAGATTGCATGAGTGTGCATGTGTGTGCGTGTGTGTGTGCATGTGAGATTGTATGAGTGTTTGCATGGTGTGTGTGCGTGTGTGTGTGAGATTGTGTGTGAGTGCGCATGTGTGTATGTGAGTGTGTGAGATTGTATGAGTGTGTGCATGTTGTGTGTGTGTATGTGAGTGTGTGTGAGATTGTGAGTGTGCGTGTGTGTGTGCATGCATGTGTGTAGACGGCATAGCACAGATGGTCACGAGGTGCGCCTGGTTCTTCCGCCATGTCACCGTGTTGTTGGGGAAACGCTGAGTTGAGGGATCTCCGACAGCCAGGAGCAGCATCTGAGATTCTGTAAAACCCTGCCCACCTGCTCTCTGCACAGGGCCAGGCAGCCTGGGCTGTGGCAGGGCCAAGACTCTTGGATACACCCCCAGACTGCCTGGAAAAATGATGTCCACTGGCGGGAAGAGACAGACAAGGCTGACTCCGCCTCATCCTGGGTGCTAGTGACGTAGCGCCCTGCAGCTTTAGCCTTTTAAAGGACATTCTGGTCCTGTGGAGGACGGGACGGCCCTACGCAGGACCACGGACCCTCTGCTGTCCCCTCACCGCAGACCTGCACCCTGTCCCTCAGAGTCAGGACGTGGGTGGGCGGGCATCTCTCAGTAGAGCCTGAGCTGCGGACGTGGACACAGCAGAGTCAGGAGCATCATCAAACTGACGACCAGAATGAGTGACCGAGGCAAAAGTCTCAATCAATGGAGGATTATTATTGTTATTGTTATTATTATTATTATTAGAGACGGAGTTTTGCTGTTGTTGCCCAGGCTGGAGTGTAACAGCACGATCTCAGCTCACTGCAACCTCCGCCTCCCGGGTTCAAGCGATTCTCCTGCCTCAGCCTCCCGGGTAGCTGGGATTACAGGCATGCGCCACCACGCCCGGCTAATTTTGTATTTTAGTAGAAACGGGGTTTCTCCATGTTGGTCAGGCTGGTCTGGAACTCCCAACCTCACGTGATCCGCCTGCCTCGGCCTCCCAAAGTGCTGGGATTACAGACGTGAGCCACCGCGCCCGGCCTCAATGGAGGCATTATTAAGCCAGCTTTAAGGCACAGCCGGGAAAAACGCAAGCCACAGACACATCTGTGTCTCCTTTTTCCAAAGAGGCTCTCCGAAGATTTATTCTTTACTCATTTCCTTAAAGAAAGACAGGCACAGAGGCCGAGGGGCAGGTAGGTGGTGAGGTGAATGGTTCCAGTTACTGCCCAGTAAATCTACCTTTTACCTAAGATAAGGTGCATGCTTGAAGAGAAAAGGGGAGTAAAGGAAAAATCAATTACGCAGACGTCTCTGGGTAGGTGGAAGAATGGCTGATCTCATCTTGTCTTTGCTCTGTGCCTGGGAAGATAAGCTTGTAACGGACATTATCAGTGTGGAATAAAACAGACCTGAGTTTTAGCTAGACTTAGATTGCAGACCTGGAGGCCAGCAAGGAATTTCCTTATGAATGATGTGTGAGGGCCTCGGTGGATGCCCGGAGCCTCTTCCCGTGGGGGATCTGGCTGATGCCAAATGCCAGCAACCGCTGTCCAACTGGAAGAGGGTGCCGCTGACTCAGCCTCCAGGCTGACCTCCCCTTTTACATTAGGAATTTGGGAGTCCTGAGGTTTTGTTCTATTTTTCCTTTACAAAATGTTTGGCCGGATGCAGTGGCTCACGCCTGTAATCTCAGCACTTTGGGAGGTCAAGGCGGGTGGATCACGTGAGATCAGGAGTTCAAGACCAGCCTGGCCAACATGGCAAAACCCCATCCCTACTAAAAATACAAAAATTAGTTAGGTGCGGTGGCTCATGCCTGTAATCCCAGCACTTTGGGAGGTGAGGCGGGCGGATCACCTGGGGTCAGGAGTTCAAGACCAGCCTGGCCAACATAGTGAAACCCTGTCCCTACTAAAAATACAAAAATCAGTCAGGCACGGTGGCTCACGCCTGTATGCCCAGCACTTTGGGAGGCTGAGGAGGGAGGATCACCTGAGGTCAGGAGTTCAAGACCAGCCTGGCCAACAAGGTGAAACCCCATCTCTACTAAAAATACAAAAATTAGCTGGGCCTGTTGGCAGGCACTTGTAATCCCAGCTACTCGGGAGGCTGAGGCAGGAGAATCGCTTGAACCTGAGAGGTGGGGGTTGCAGTGACCCGAGATTGTGCCAATGCACTCCAGCCTGGGTAGCGGAACAAGAGTCTGTCTCAGATAAAAAACAAAACAAAAAACAAAACAAAACAAAAAAACCCAAAACGTTATGCGCACCCATTATCCCGAATCTTCTTAGCGGATCCTCACGGCACACCTTAGAGGTGGGGAGCAACCCAGCTTTTAAAGTTGAGATCATTGAGCCTCCACCCACCGAGGTTGGACTCCCAGACTCAGCGTTCTGTGAAGGGTTGTGGTTACGATTCCAGCGCTGCCATGCACCTGGCTCCAAAGCCTGCACGGCCACAGCTGCAACGTTCCCCTGCCCTGGCCATGTTTATAGACAGCGCTCCAGGTGAAGAGCGCCTATAGCCAGGGCAGAACCCCTATCGGGGCAGAGGCACTGTCGCTCCATCAGAGTTCACCAGCAGCAGCACCATGGACGCACTCTCATTGCTGAAGTCCAGCCGTGTTCGTGGGCAGACGCTTCTCAGCTTGTGTGAGCCCTGGGCTTCCTGAGGTGGTTGTTTTGGAGCATTTCGTCCAGCTTCTCCCTTGTTCCTGGGGAATGGTTTGCCCCATGCCCCAGCTCTGTCGTTCCGGAAGTTTCTACTTCACACAGTTAAAAAAAAATTCTCTAAATATATAAACACCATGACCCAATTTTTCTGGCAAAAACAAACAAGCAAACACACCCACAAACATCTTTCCAGACACGTAAGCAAAATCTGCAATTACACGCTCTTCACGTGTTTAGGCACTATAACCTTCTTCATTTCCGGCAGGTCCTTGGTCCTGTGTTTCTCTAGGGGGTGTCTTTCCAGCAGCCTCTCCTTATGATGTCCTGGGATTCCTGTATCCACTTCTCTTTCAATAACCTTGTAACTCAGCTTGGGAATCAGAGTGGTCACTTTAATGTCTAACATGCATTTTTTTTTTAATTTTTGAAAAGGTTTAATCACAAGTTAAAGAGTCGCTTAGTCAAATACATAATTATATTGTAGATCCATCCATCCCCTCCTGGCAGATAATTTAGCTCAACTAAATTGTACCAATAAATCCATCTACAGGTCTCATGGAACTTAGCTGGAAAACAGGAAAAACCATGGAATCCGACAATGTCAAATATGGCAGACTTTGTGAATCGACTCATTGACTTATCTATCTGCCTACCTATTTACCTGTATTCCTATGGATCTGTTCATCAGTTAATCTCTCTATCTGAAGGAGCCACAGGGAATGCCAACAGCCACCCAGAGCTGGAAAGGGCAAGGGAGGGTTCTCCCCAAGAGCCTCCAGAGAGAACGCTGGCCCTGGCCCTGCCATCACCTTGATTTTTAGCTTCGCAACTCTGAGAGAATAAATTTATGTTGTCTTAAGCCACCCAATAATAATTTGTTATGACAGCCTAGAAAACTAATTGCTCATCTCCCCCAACCCCCATCCCCTCTCTCTCTGAATTCATACTTATGTAGTGTATGTGTGTTTCTATACACACATGTGCCATGAATTTTGTTTGTTTGTTTGAGAGACAGAAGGAACTGAGTTTTGAGTCATAGCTAAAGTGTGGTTTCAGATAAAACACCACCAGCTGGTATTTGCATGCCCTATTCTCTTCTAGAAATGCCGAAGTTTCTAGTTAACTGGTTTTATTTGTCAGGAGAAGTAAGGGAATTGCAAATATTCAGCCTACTAACATTAGGTGGAGGACACATTTCCTTTTTATTCTGCAAAGAGGATCATGATGGTAACAATATTTATGTATTAGTTTGACAAGAGAACATTGCATTAGGAGATATACCTAATGTTAAACGACGAGTTAATGGGTGCAGCACACCAACATGGCACATGTATACATATGTAACAAACCTGCACGTTGTGCACATGTACCCTAAAACTTAAAGTATGTATTACAAAAAAGCGCCTCCTAATTATTCCTTGGCCTATTTCTTCTTGGTGTTTTAAATTTAATTATACTCTAGTAATTTATATTTAAGCTAAGAAGTAGTCTACTGGTGTTGAAAACAGATGTATATAGAGAGATTCTTTTTTGATCTATAAGATAATTTTGTAAACTATTTTTATAGCCAGAATTTTCATATATTGGTCTTTACTAATCCTGTCGAATTCCAATGGTGTAGGTAATTTTTTGGTGCAGCTGCAGAAGAAGACTTTGCAAGAAATTTGCTTGACTTTAGCAAGTACAAGTGGACTAAATTGCTTCTTTTGTCCTGGAAAGTTCAGAACTATTTGGGCATTTCTGATTCTCAGATTCTTCCATCCACACATTTCATCCTATGCGACAAGGTTTTACATACCTCCCAAGAAACTTATTTTGACATAGAAATATTCAACTATTTTGTGCTATAACTCAAGTTATCTTGCTGCTGGTGAAAAGATGTGGGTGCAAAAATATTTTGAATTTATTATGCTACAAATAATATGTGATATTAATGCACTTATAAATTAATTTGTTAGAGTAACTTTGTATATTGTAAATAGAATACCACTCAGAAAATGCTACACAACACATTAAACAAACAGCATGATTTAGTACAAATGAATCTGGGAATAGTCTTTCAAATGAATCACAATCAAGAATCCTACATTGAGTACAACACACTGCTTTTAACTGGTGCTTCATATTCTTTTTGTTTCCAATGAAGTTGAATACATTTGGTTGTCTTAATTAAAAGCTTAAGTGTATTTTGTTCTAACTTATATTTAATGGATTAATTTTAGTTAATTGATTTTATGAAGACACTTGAAAGGTGAACTGAAGTGTGTGGTGCAGATATAAAGCTAGTTAAGTCATTGGAAACATTAACTTGGCTTTTATTGTTATTTCTCAGCCTGGAATTCTCTGAAGCATCTGATAATATTGACCCTCTGAACTGCTTGATCATTACTCTTTTTTTTTTTTTTTGAGGCGGAGTCTCGCTTTGTCAGAGTGCAGTGGTGTGATCTCAGCTCACTGCAACCTCCACCTCCCAGGTTCAAGCAGTTCTCTGCCTCAGCCTCCTGAGTAGCTGGGATTACAGGGACCTGCCACCATGCCTGGCTAATTTTTGTATTTTTAGCAGAGATGGGGTTTCACTGTCTTGGCCAGGCTGGTCTTGAACTCCTGACCTCGTGATCTACCCGCCTCGGACTCCCAAGGTGCTGGGATTACAGGCGTGAGCCACCGCACCCGGCCCTGATCATTACTCTTAACCAGTCATCAAGATAATAATGTCAGGAGGATGGTCTATATTATTATACATTTTTCATTTTTCTTCTATTTCTATCTCAAGATTTCTTCGGGAAGCTTGCCGTTAATGTTCTTTTTTTTAAAAAAAAACATATGCTCCACCTTTGAGACAGTATTGCCGATTGAACTTCACTTTACTAAGAAATTCTTCACCAAAAGCTCATCTATAAAACTGCCCAGTGGGAGTTTAGCACTTTTTCTGATTTATGAACATTGCCAACTCGGTAGTGCCAAGAGATTTCAAAATTTTCACCCTAGAATACCAAGGTCAGGACATCTCTCCTACTTGCAGGAAAGATGAGCTGAACTGGACCTGATCTAGCCTTGAACAGAGATATGCATGAGAATCTAGAGGGTTTTCCCTGAGACCATGGACCAGCAACTTCTCCCTTACTGCCTCTCACTTTGTATGGGGATCCTCAGACTGTAACAATGAATTCAGCACTGGGTCTTGGATAGTTCCACCCTGGGATGCCCAGATCTAAATTTAGCCAATTGGCCTGTGAATGTGACATAAAATACGGTATTTATGGCTGGGCACAGTGGCTCACGCCTGTGATCTCAGCACTTTGAGAAGCTGAGGCGGGTGGATCACTTGAGGTCAGGAGTTTGAGACCAGCCTGGCCAACATGGCCAAACCTGATCTCTACTAAAAATACAAAATTTAGCTGGGCATGGTGACATGCGCCTGTAGTCCCAGCTACTTGGGAGGCTGAGGCAGGAGAAAGGCATGAACCCGGGAGGCGGAGCTTGCAGTGAGCCAAGATCGCACTATTGCACTCATTACAGCCTGGGTGGCAGAGCAAGAATCTGTCAAAAACAAAACAAAACAAAACAAAACAAAACAAAACAAAAAACAAGTCTTTTACAAGTTCGAAGCTATTTCTTATGGAGTTGTTATTTGTAAAACCATGACTGTAACCCACCTGACTTGGATCAAAGAGAAACGGAATCAATCCCAAGGCGTCCCCTCAATAGGGCACTGGGCAGCTGTGGATGTCATGGGGAAGTTCTCCTGACGGATGACCCTCCAGGACACATAGCTATGTGGGGAGTTAGAAAAGAAAAAGACAACACTCAGGACATTATTAGTCATTAGCTTTCTTTGAGAAAGAGCCAGAGAGAACTAGTATATTGCTATGCTTTTCTGTGTGTGTGTTTGTATTTTACATTTTAAAAATGAAAGAATACATGAAAACCTTTAAAACTGGGTACACTCAGCTACTTGGGAGGCTGAGGCAGAAGAATGGCTTAAACCCAGGAGGCGGAGGTTGCATTGAGCTGAGATCGTGCCATTGCACTCCAGCCTGGGTGACAGAGCGAGACTCCGTTTCAACAAAAATAAAAACAAAATCAAAACGACAACAAAAACCACAACAAAACCCTAGGTACTTGTGACGGAGGGAGAAAACAGCAGAGGAGATGGGATGAAGCTAGACTAACCTCATTGTGCTTTGTTTGTTGTTTCAGTTTGGAAATAGACATATATTTTCTTGAATAGGTGTAGTGCCAAAATATTTTCACATACGATTTATGAACCTAAAGACAAAACCTAAGTAAAAAGAGTAATGAAACTAATCTTAACACCAAATTAAGATTTTACTAAACAAAGGTGAATTATTTCCACTGAATTTTAAGCAAAATTATTTAACTATGTTTTATAAGTAATACATATTATACATCATTTTATATTATAGATTTTTAATGTTTTAAAATAATCAAATATGATATATAATATATTGATTTATAATTATTACTGTAATAAAGAATTTTGACGATTGCATATACCTCATTTTATATTATAATTTTTTAAAATTTTTAAATAATCAAATAATATATATGATTATTATAATAAATAATTTTGACGATGTATAGTAAATACATATATCATCGAAAATATTTAATCTTAAAATATACTTAGATAGTGAAATGTTTTTTATTTCTGTTTGAGGAAATAGGTGAGTCCACATTAAGACAGAATGCATGAAATGAACTCAGAACCCCTTATTATACAAGAGAACAAAGGAGTCACAATTACCTTCAAATTCATTTGACTTAAACAGAAAGGCAATCATGAAGGATCCCACTGACAAAGAATGGAATATTTATAGCATCAAATAATATTTCAATGGATTGAAATAAATGAATATATATAAACCATATATGTTTACTAGTGCTAAAACAAAAGAAAATAAGCCAAACAAACAAAATACCTCATTTACAGCACCAAATTACCACATTCCAAAAGTGGAAATGGACGCAAGAACCAGTATCTCCCTTTTCTATCTGAAGTATTCCACAGGAAACATTCTTTTCTCTGTAGAAGATTTCTGCAGAAAATTTCAGACCATTTTTAGTCTGAATAATCTGCATAATCTGAATAATCTACAGATTATTCTGTGGGAATAATTCATCTTTGTTTAGTGAAACCTTAACTTGGTATAAGATTAGTTTATTTTTTACCTAGGTTTTGTCTTTGGGTTTATGAATTATATGTGAATTTTTTTTTTTTTTTTTTTTTTTGGGACGGAGTCTCACTCTGTCCCCCAGACTGGAGTGCAATGGCGCCATCTCGGCTCACTGCAACCTCTGCCTCCCGGGTTCCCGCCATTCTCCTGCCTCAGCCTCCCGAGAAGCTGGAACTACAGGCGCCTGCCACCACGCCCGGCTAATTTTTTGTATTTTTAGTAGAGACAGGGTTTCACCGTGTTAGCCAGGATGGTCTCGATCTCCTGACCTCTTGATCCGCCCGCCTCGGCCTCCCAAAGTGCTGGGGTTACAGGCGTGAGCCACCGCGCCCGGCCGAAAATATTTTTGCACTGCACGTATATTCATGAAAATATGTGTATACTTCCAAAGTGAAACAGGACATAGTTTCCAAACTGGAAGATGGACAGAGTTGCAAAATCTGTACACTGAGTGTACAAGCAATAAACATCAATGGCCTCCCAAACCCTTAGACTTCAGGTTCGTGGTGAATGTAGTACTGGATGGATCCTGTTGATGACAAAGCCATGGGGGCAGGAATGCAAGCTGGAGAATGCAAGACGCAAACAAATGAGTCACTTACTGTGTCAGATCTAATTTTTTAAAAAAACTTTTGTGTTATCTTGCCCTCAGATTCATATTTTCAAAATCTTTAATTTTTGTTTAAAAAATTACCGCTAAAACCAAGGCAGGAGGAGTGGAATTCCAAGACGGTGGATTACGTGATTCTGTTCCTCATAGCCCCACAGAAACATCAGCTGTGACCGCCATCCAGGACCAGAAATATTTCTGTGACAACCTAGAAGTGCAGTGAGAGTTGCCAGCACCACAACGAGCAAAAAATTGCAGAATAAGATACAAGAAATAGTTACAAAATTAGGTAATAGTATAGCAGAATGCTATAATCAAGCTTTATTCACTAGCCCTGTTTCACTTTTTTATTACTCAAAACGTCTAGACTCATTGGAGACAGGGAGAGTTATGTTGATCTGCAATATATTCCCAGTGTCTTGCATTTATTTTTATTTTTTTATTTTTTCTTTTTTTATTTTATTATTATTATACTTTAAGTTTTAGGGTACTTGTGCACAACGTGCAGGTTTGTTTTTGAAATGGCATAAAGCAATATATTTGAAAATTAAAAAAAAGATTTTTGAAGAAAAGAGAAAGAACAGCTTTTCTCTTCTTTCTGCATCTCTTCTTCCCCAGGGAGGCACAGTTCAGTGCCAGGAGAGACTCCGCGGGCTGCGAGCTCTCCCACAGAGGAAAGTGAAAGCAGAGGGAACACCCAGGTTCCTCAGCCTCAGGGGAAACTGCCCACGTCAGCCTCTCAGCACCAGATCGTCGAGGGGACTGGAATGGCGGAATAGTCTTGGAGGAGGCGGGAGCACCGGAAGCTGTGAGCGCTCACAGCAGCCATCACGCAGATCTAACAAAATGGCTGCAGATCTGACCCACAGACTCATGGGAGCCGAATAGACATCTTTCCAAAGACACAGGAATGGACGGCAGGTTTAGAAAAAGGCTCCACATACCTAATCATGAGGAAAACGCATTAAAATCACAGTGAGGCATCACCTCTCTGGTTAGGATGATAACAAAGGCAAACGAAGGTAAGTGCTTCGAAGGGCGTGAAGAAAAAGGAACCCTGGAATACCATTAATAAAAATGCAGATTGGTGCAGCCATTTTGAAAAACGCATAGAGATTCCTCAAAAAATTAAAATGGAACTACACGACACAGCATTTCTCTGCTGGATACTTCGCCAGAGCAATTGAAATCAAAATACTGAGGAGGTGTTGCACGCCTATATTTATTGCACCATTATTCACAGTAGCCAAGATACGAAAACAACATAAATGTTCATCGATGGATGAATGGATAGAGAAAATGTGATATATACCTATCATAAAATATTATTCAGCATTTTTTTAAGCATTAACAAATTTACTTAATTATTTGAGGCAAGGTCTTGCTCTGTCTCCTAGACTGGAGCCCAGTGGTGTGATCACAGCTCACTGCAGCCTCAACCTCCCAAGCTCAGTCAATCCTTCCACCTCAGCCTCTTGGGTAGCTGGGACTACAGGCGTGCACCACCACGCCTGGCTAACCTTCTGTATCCTTGGTAGAGATGGGGGTCTCGCTGTGTTGCCCAGGCTGGTCTTGAACTCCTTGCCTCAGGTGATCCCTCCGCCTCAGCCTCCCAAACTGCTGGGATCACAGGCGTGAGCCACTGTGCCTGGCCAAGGGGTACAACGTTTTAATTCTCCAAGATGAATAAATTATCGATATCTAATGTATAGAATGAAAACTATTGGTAAGAGTACTGTACTATACGCTTGAAATTTGCTAAAATAGTAGATTCTAAGTAGTTTTACCACACACACAAGTGAGGTGATGGATTGTGGTGATTATTTCACTATATATATAAAGTCGTCAAGGTATACATCTTTAATATGTGCCTTAAAAATACTCAAAGTGGAAAAACAAAATGAGTCTGTTATTTAGGTGAGACCTACGAGCACTGCCTCCTGAGCTCAGTGATGGACAAACCTGTGATATATTAAGGGTCACTATCTCTTCTACTATTTTTACTATTTTTCAATATTAAAAAGCACCCCTTTTTACTATTACAGTTATATAATTAGCAGCACATGGAAATTGTTCAGAAACAAGATCGCAACCCTGAAATTCACCATATTTTAATTTTTAATTTGTTGTTGTTGTTGAGATGGAGTTTCTCTCTTGTTGCCCTGGCTGGAGTGCAATGGTGCAATGTCGGCTCACTGCAACTTCCACCTTCTGGGTTCAAGTGATTCTCTTGCCTCAGCTTTCTGAGTAGCTGGGCTTACAGACATGTGTCACCATGCCCGGCTAATTTTGAATTTTTAGTAGAGACGGAGTTTCACCATGTCGGTCAGGCTGGTCTTGAACTCCTGACCTCAGGTGATCCGCCCACCATGGCCTCCCAAAGTGATGGGATTACAGGCATGAGCCACAGTGCCTCACCCATTTCTAAAATATAATATATCTCTAGTAAATCCAACTAAGAATTGAAAAAAAATGTTTAAACATGAATGTATATTTTGGCAATCAAAATATTACCTTTGTAACATTTGGACACAATTCTGTTTCATAGTTGCTTAATAAACTGCTACATAGAATACAACAGATATTTATTAATATTTATGAGTTGTGCAAATACATACAACACTGGGTAAAAAATAATTTGTAAATTCTTCTTTGTAGAGGCAGTATTGTATTTGCAATTTTGATGAAAAAATGGCTTAAGAAAATGTATGTAATTGTACAAATCAACCACTCAATTGAGTAAATGTGGAAGAAATACTTTTTTTGAGACGGAGTCTCGCTCTGTCGCCCAGGCTGGAGTGCGGTGGCGCGATCTCGGCTCACTGCGAGCTCCGCCTCCCGGGTTCACGCCATTCTCCTGCCTCAGCCTCCCGAGTAGCTGGGACTACAGGCGCTCGCCACCAAGCCCGGCTAATTTTTTTGTATTTTTAGTAGAGACGGGGTTTCACCCTGTTAGCTAGGATGGTCTCGATCTCCTGACCTCGTGATCCGCCCGCCTCGGCCTCCTAAAGTGCTGGGATTACAGGCGTGAGCCACCGCGCCCGGCCCCTGGAAGAAATACTATTAAAAAAAAAAGAAAGGGTGCTTAAGACCTGACAAAATGCAATAAACCACTATACTGCGTGAAGTGAGTCAATATCTTAAATAATTTGACCAACAAAATATGTGTGCATCAACAATGTATTTTACAACCAAATACTAACATTCCCAAATGTCCTGTACTGGTCAAAAAAAAAAAAAGACACAGAAAGAAAATTAATTATAATATTAAAAATAGTTTTATCTAATATTTTAAAATTACAGATAAAAATTGGTTATAGTAAACCAAAGAAAAAAACAGTCTACAAAATAATGTGAAGTATTTGATAGGTAGATATGTAAAGAAATAGATGCAGATCAGAGATAGAAATTTTGTTTGATCTTTGAATTCCAAAGATTAGAGACCAGGAGAATTATAGGTATAAAAAAATTAAGAACTTAGTATTTGAGTAAAAGTTAATTCCAAAATGAGTTGGAAGAATATTTGTTAAATACATGGATTTAAATATTTTGACATTTAGTTTAAAAACTAAAACCAGTTTCTACTGGATGCCATTTAGGCAAATAAAAATATTTATGTAAAGGCATATAACCATATAAATTAATATCTAGTAGATTAAGCATATAGAAACAGGTATATATATTTTAAAACATGAGTTGAGGCAAATACTTAGTAAGCAATTTTAAAACATGAGCCATAGAACAATTAAAAATATTACAATATTTCAAATAGTAAAACTTATTTAAGACTAACGACATATAATATGGAACTCAGAATATTAGAAATATTTTATATATCAAAATTGAAAAAAGGAGGCTGTCATTAATATTTTAAGTGCTCATTCTAAACAGTAAAATAAAATATCATTTGTTATCTAAGTAGGGAAATTATGTAAACAAGGATTTCTGTGGGTAAGAAAAAAAGCCTCACAAATATATGTTTTTCTCGGAGATTATCAACCAAATGCAAAATAAAATTTAAAAAAGATTTCTTTAAATTTGAAATCCATTTTTTTGTTACATGTTTAATTTATGGTCATAGCGTCACTGTACATAATTACTATTCTTCTTTTTTTTTTTTTTTTGATGGCGTCTTGCTCTGTCACCCAGGCTGGAGTGCAGTGGCACAATCTTGGCTCACTGCAACCTCTGCCTCCTGGGTTTAAGCGAATCTCCTGCCTCAGCCTCATGAGTAGCTGGGATTACAGGTACCCACCATCATGCTTGGCTAATTTTTGCATTTTTGTAGAGAAGGGGTTTTACCATGTTGGCCAGGCTGGTCTTGAATTCCTGACCTCAGATGATTAACCCGCCTTGGCCTCCCAAAGTGCTGGGATTACAAGCATGAGCTACCGTGCCTGGCCCATAATTACTATTCTTCTTGCAGCTATGGATTTTTATATCTGGGTGAAAATTAAATGAAGAGTAATGGTTTCTCAGTTTGAAATGAATGAATGTGAGATGCGAGTGAAACCTTATATGATACTATGAAGTAGAAGATAGAGTATTTTAGCCATATTTAACTTGACATACTATTTTATAATACCTAAAAATGTAGATGCATTGCAAAAACATTAGGACTTACCAAAACAAGAACAGCATTTTTATAATAATTTTTTAACTGGTTTAATAATTAAAACGTTGTTAAGCTACAATGGGATTTAACTGTCATTAAAATTTGGAAAATACTAGAATCTTGGTAAAGTGTAGATTAGTTTAGAGAAATAGATGCTTTAGAAAATCAAAACCGTTTCTGGAAGGCTATATAATAATGATAACAGTTTGGTCCCAGTGGACAGGGAGAAAAGTAGGAGAGTGAGAAATAAAACCATGCATTTTATGTAGCATATACACACAAACTTATTCAAAATTTTCTTGGAAAGAAAATGTCTTGTGACAAGTATGAGAAATTTAGCAAATTTATAGTAGACATTGGTCAGCAAATCCAAACAAGAGAAAGAAAGGAGCTATGCACGAATCATAAAGGAAACATACAACTAAATTTAAATTCCACTAAACTTAGTTGAGCAGCAGTGAGAACAACAAAATGATGGAAAATCATGGACACAAGAAAATATCTGTGAGTCCTAGACCAGCTGGGACTATGGGTCTCATCTGCTCTTTAAGAATGGCAGTCATTCGTGGGGAAATGAAAACCTCTGTTTCATCTCTTATCAAAGTGATTTGCAGAGAGGCACAATAGTAGGCTAAATGAGGCACATCTTACTTCCTGAGATCCTGGCAGGAAAATCCCCACCCCACGGCTCTTCTGGCTGGGATCTTAGCTGTCAGAACAGACTAAGTGCTCACTGTTTTAAGACTGAGTGGAGTGACAGCTTTAGAACGCTTGATCTTTAAATTCCAACAGATCTGGACCAGGTGCAAAGGTTTGGGGTGTAGCACAGCACTTTTAAAGCTGGCTAAGAGTCAGAGATGCATTTATACCTGAACACATTTATAGTCCCTGATTATCCCTGCTCCCTAAGCCTTGAAAACAGTCACTCACTTTAAAAGGTGAGATTCTATTTGGTGAAGTGAGAGATAGAGTTTACCTTCTTTACACTGGTTCCAGGATTTTCTACGGACATGAAATTATTGTTGCAGTTAAGTGCATGGTAATCCCCAGAACCCATGGGAAAGAGATGGAGGTGTATGGCTTTGCACTTATGACAGAAAGTTTCCGGAGACATATGCCATTGCCAACCAAAGCACAACACGCAACCACCACAGGTAATTTTAAATCTCCTAAGTTGCAGGTGTCATTAGACAGGAAGTGTGTAAGCAGGTGGCAAGAGCTGACACACTCTTAACCCTCATACAAGCAGCAGAGTGAAGACTGTGAGGCTTGGCGTGTTCATTCAGAGACAGTGTTTCGGATGGGGCTATGACAGAAGAGGAAAATAAGAGATGCCAGGCAACTCTTGAGCGGGAAGGCTGGGGCAATTCTATGTCTCAGGAACCCTCAGAAAATATTATTACTTTAAGGGTTTTTTTTTAATGGTCCATGCTGATGCTAGGACTAAACAATAATTTTGTGTACACACCAAGTTTTTTATGATAAACACTCTAATTCCCTGAGAATATGGCTCTGTATCAAAGAAAATTCCTCTTACCAAATGCCATTTCTTGCTGAAGAAGTAGCCTTCATGGTCACAGTCTGGGCACCTGTGCAAAAGGGGACATCTTATCCCTGATATAAAGGTTTGGGACACCATGAGGTCATCTTCTTGCTGACAGGTAATTATTATATCATCTGTGAGTACACTGACAGTATTTGCATGGGGATTTGAGATGCTCTCAGAAAAACATTTTTGAAATGTTCAAATGACTGAGAGCTAATAGTAGTGATTAGATCCATTCAACTGAGAAAAAGAGAGCAAGAGACAGAAACAGAGATAGAAAGAGATAGAGAGAAAGAGAGACAGAAAAAAGATAAAGACAGTATGACAGAAACAGAGAGAGAGAGAGAAAGAGAAAGGAAGGAAGGAAGGAAGAAAAAGAAAGAAAGAGAAAGAAAGAAAAAGAAAAAGAAAGAAAGAAAGAAAGAAAGAAAGAAAGAAAGAAAGAAAGAAAGAAAGAAAGAAAGAAAGAAACATCTCTGAAATTCTTGGAGAAACCACATGGAAATAAGATATCAGATGAGGACCCTGATGTCTAAGAACTGAGATGAAGGAGGAGGCAATGAGTCTGGATGTGTTTCTTCCCAACCTTGGGGTCTTGCCTCCTGAATGTTATTCTTTTTCTATTCTGAGAACTTTGTACAAAAGGCTGCCTGGAAGGGAGAAGAAAAGAATCAAGTTGGAACAAATTGTCTCTGTGATAGAAATGAACTTGGCAGGAGTGGAGAAACTTTTATTCCCTGTTTCCATAGGCACATGTGAAGTATCTGATCTGTGTCAAACATGGTGTATGAGATGTCTCAGAATAAAGGACATGAAAACTTCCAAAGAGCCTGCCTGTATTAAGTCAATATTGTAGTCAAGAAAAGTGGACATTACACACAATAAATAATAGATAGAGTATGCATTGTGTTAAAAGATAATAAGTGCATTGTGAGAAGGAAAAGAAGTAATGTGCTCCACAGAATAGTAAAAAATTTTGCAAGCAGGTTGTTTGGCTGACTGGAGCTGAAACTCTTCCCCAAGTCTTCAGGCTGTTTGTCCTGCAGATTTTGGACTCACCAAGTGCCAACAATTACATGAACCCATTCCTAGATAGCAAGATAAGTAGATATAGATATGCACATATGTACATATATCGGTTCTGTTTCTCTGGAGAACACTTACAAATACATAATTTGATCATAGGAATGATTCTAGATGAACTGAATCTTAATATGTTTTGTCTACTGTTTCTGAGGTTTATGGAACTGGCTGTCTGATTAGATTTAAAGACATTAAGACAGTATGACAGAAACAGAAAGAGAAAGAAAGAGAAAGGAAGAAAGGAAGGAAGGAAGAAGGAAGGAAGGAAGTCTGTGATAGTCCGTGGCATGATGTGGCATTAGGGGTACACCACTAGATGCTCCTAATCCTACACTTATAAGGAACGAGAATCTGGGTGGCCTTGCATACACCTTTGAAGATTGTTGTCAAACTATTAAGTATAGTATGTGTGGCTGTTTTGTCATTGGATAAAGAGGTAAAGAAAAAGATGAGCCCAGAGATTAGAATTTCCAGTTCAAGCACCACTACATAAATATCTGAGGTTTCTATGTGTGCCCTGAAAGAGACTCTTATCATCTGTAGCTGTAGGGGTGAGATTGCTGAAAATCAAACCGAGAATCTCATCCTTGAAGTGGCTGTATTACAATTCAAGCGGAGTCCCCAGCCTCACAGGGTATCTACTGTTCAAGTAATGCCATTGGTCAGGAATGGGTGAGATCTTGAAAGATGGAATGAGGATGTATATTAAGACCCTGATACAGCTGAGGATATCAAGCCCCTAACTTTGAATGAGTCTTCTTTGCCAATAGAAGCATCCTCTCTATCTGCAAGGGAGGAGATTAACCCTGTACTGTCTGAGGAAACAATACTGGCCTCCCCTGAGGCAGTTGCCATGCAAGGCTATGCTGATTCTCCTTAGGATACATCCTGACCAACCCTCTTTGCTTCTAGACCTATAACTAGATTCAAGTCTCGCAGGCCCTGAAAAGTGTGTTACAAAGTGTGGCTCATGAGAAGTTGTGCTACACTCCAAAGTAATTTATTTATTTTTCTAATTTATCCATACAGAAGTCTGAGGAACACGTGTCAGAGTGGATATTAAGGGTTTAGGATAATGGTGAAAAGAACATAAAGTTGAGTCGGACCGAATTTATATATATAAGCTCACTAAACAGAGATTGCACATTTAATGTTGCATCTTGGAGAACCGGAAATGATTCTACCAGTTTGTCTGGTTGATTGGCTGAAACATGGAGCAAAAGCTGGCCTGCAGTAAATAAACTCAAAATGCCAGACATGCCTTGGTTTGCTGCAGAGGAATTAACTTAAAGGCTTAGGAAGACTGTAATGTTACCATGCATGTATCAAACCTAGTAACCCACATTGGAAGCATCAGAAGATGTATCTTTCAACAATATTGCAAAGGGAGCTCTGGCATCCTTGAGGAGCTCTGTGATTTCTCTTCTCTGGAAGCTGGAACCTACAGTGGAACTGCTGAATTTTAAAAAATCTAAATGTAATGGGAGTAATTTGGCCCCTACCTCTTGGCCCCCAGAGAGACAGGGGCCAAGTAGAGGAACTCAGCCACCAAAGGCAAGGTGGGTTTGGTTACCATGATGGACAGCAAAGTCAAACCAGCGATCGGAATAGTCCCGCAGACTTATGGTGTTGGCTAGTTGATCACGGCATTCTAACAAGGGAGATAGATAGGAAACCTACTAAATTCTCACTTGATCTGTATAAGCAGAAAATTTCTATGTCAAGTGAACAAAAGTCAACCCAAATCATAAAAGCAGAGAGCCACAGTCTCTCAATCAATGGCTAGCACTGAGTCAGTTCATAGAGCCAGAATCCCCTGAATTAAAGGGATCCCAGGCAGGGTTCCCGTGAGGGCACTGTCCCTGGTACACTACCAAGAATATATACTCTTAATCTTTCTCCTGGACTTTGGTTAAAGGGACCTGCAGCCTTTTACAATGGCAATGGAGCCTTGGGGAAAATAATCAGATAATTTGGGCATTACTGGAAATGGGGTATGAACTGACATTAATTCCAGGAGACCCGAAACGTCACTGTGGCCCTCCAGTCAGAGTAGTGGCTGCTAGAGGCAAGGTGATTGGTGGAGTTTGAGCTCACGTGTTCCATAGTGAATCCAGTGTATCCCTAAACCCACCCTGTGGCTGTATCCCCAGTTCCAGAGGGCAACATTGGAATAGACATATTCAACAACTATCACAACCCCCACAGTGGTTCCCTCACTTGTTGAGTGAGGGTTATTAGAGTGGGCCCAGTGGGAGCCACTAGAACTGCCTCTTCCCAGCTAAACTGTAAACCAAAAGCAGTCTTGCATTCCTGGAGGAATTCCATATATTGGGACTTGAAGCGTGCAGAGACAGTGATTCCCACAACCTTGCCATTCACCTCTCCTATTTTACCTCCACAGAAGACGCAGGGATCTTGGATAATGATATTAGATTATTGTAAGCTTAATCAGATCCAATTGAAGATGTTGTAACAGATGTGGTTTTGTAGTTTGAGCAAATTAATACATCCCCTGATACCCAGTATTCAGCCATTGATGTGTTAAATATTTTTTTCTCCATCACTGTTAATAAGAACCATCAGGAACAGTTTCCTTTCATTTGGCAAGGGCATCAGTACACCTTCACAGTCCTACCTCAGGGTCTGGGAAAGCACCTGGGGGTTGTGATCGGGGTCTCAGTGGCCTTCAGCTGGTGCTCTTCCTCCTCTTCTTTCTCCTCTGACACTGGCCTCAGGGCCAACACAGGACATTGGGTGAGTAGGAAGTTGGCGGGGAGACCCATGGGCTGACTGAAGGTGGGGTCAGGGCACCACCAACCAGACAGATTCCAGATGGGAAAGTTCAGCTCAGAAAAACGGCTCCAGCATTTCCCAGTGAGAAAACCTAGAAAGAAGAGAATAAATGTGAACATACATGAACATACCTTATTCTTTTGGTTGTTTCATCTAACGACGTTTTTAAAACATCTATGCAAGTGTGTTTTCAGCTTTCCTTCTTTTCTCTTGAGTTCTCTGTGCAGGGCAGGTGGCTCTCATGATCCCAAGGCTGAAGCTCTGTCCCTCTTCACCCAGCCCAGAGGGAGGCTGATTTCCAAAGTCCTGTGGGGACTGTGGAGTCAGAGAACGACAGAGGCCTGTGGAGGAGGTAATTCTGCCCGAAGACCCCAGACGCCCACCTACCCCCACAACCTCCTCACTGGCCCTCACACTCCCATGTCCTTCCCCGGGTCCAGCCCAGCTGCTGATGTCCAGGAAGAAAACTTCTGTGACAGGAAGAGGGGGGCACCTGAGGGTGGAGACAGAAGCCCCAAAGTTTCGGTAGCAATGATAGCAGGGGAAAAGGCTGAGAAGGGCTTGGGACTCTTTTATATAATATATAAATTAATATAAAAATTAATTCACCTTCACAATGTCTGTCTAATGCATTTCAACAACTGTCTGTGTTTTCCTCATGTATCTTGGTTGTCATTCCTGTGGGGCGGCTCCTCCCACGCACCTGACCTTTCATAAAGGGTTTCTCCCACGGCTGTCCAGGCATCAGCCTGATGAAGGGGATTGTTGCCGCTGCTCCTCCCCACTCCCCCAAACTCAGTGTCAGCTCAAGATTGTGCCCAGCAGGGATGGGACCAACGCCAGTCTCACACTCACCTGTGGGGCAGAGCAGACGCCCATGTCAGACCACCGTGGATTGAATCTGTTTCTCACACACAGGGGAGGGGCTGAGCACTGACCATGGCCTCCAGTGAGTGAGCAGAGACCCCCCAGCGCCTGTCCACACACACAGGGGAGGGGGAGCCACAGCTTCCAGCGTCACCCAGAGCCCTGACCCCTCCCTGCCTGGGAGGACGTGGGGTTCCTCTTCTGTCCCACACGGAGGTGGGAGCCTCCTCCTCCCTAATGACCCTGGGTGGTCCCAGACACCTGTGGCCACTCAGCATTGAACTCTGCTCATGGAAGGGGATGCGTCTCAATGTGAGGAACTGTTCTTCCTCTTTCTGTGCCCGTGGCTGTGATGATCTGCATATTTCAGATGTATCACAAGGAGAATTTCATGGTATTTGGAGCCGATGTGGGCTCTTGAGTGGGGGCGTCAATCATCCTCCTGGACTGTGGAGCCCAGCACCAGGATCCTCTCCCGTCCCCACCCTCCTGTCTGAACTGGTCTGGAAATTCACCATGGCTGAGCCTCCCATGTCCTGGGCACCACTGACCCCCACAGCCACTGTGATGAGTGGGGTTCACGACAGCAGGCTCAGAGGTGACATTCATGTCCAAAGTCACATAAACCCTGGATGATAATCAGGAATTAAATACAAATCAGCTCACCTTCCCCAGAATCAGATTACAGACCTAACAAATTCTTCTGAAAACTCTGAACATGGACGGAGGTGCCGAGGGAAGGCCAAGGACGCAAGGGACACTGAGGGGGCGGGACCGACTCAGAGCCTCATTCCCGGGGTGGGGGTGGGTGATGTTGCAACAAAGAGAAAAGGGGAAGTACAGGAGAGGGACGGTTTGGTAGGAAGGAAACACACACTCTCAAGACAGAACAAATATGTTTTATTATAGTTAATCCCTGCATTTCCCGTTTTGAGACAGGGTCTCACTCTGTCACTGAGGCTGGAATGCTAAGGGGTGATCATAGCTCCCTGCAGCCTCCGCCTCCCAGGCCGAAGTATTCCTCCCACCTCAGCCTCCTGAGTAGCTGGGACTAGAGATGTGAGCTGCCATGCCTGGCTAATTTTTTGCTTTTTTTATACAGACAAGGTCTTGCTATGTGGCCCAGGGTAATCTGAAGCTCCTGGCCTCTAGCCTTCACCCACCTCAGCCTCCTGAAGTGCTGGGATTCCAGGCATGAGCCACCATGGTAGACCCTGCATTACTCCTCTGTGCTCACTGCCACACGCAGCTCAACCTGAGCTACACAGCCAGGTGTCAGGTGCGTCTCTGCTGATCTGAGTCTAACTGCAGCATGGACCTGGGTTTTCCCTGAAGCATCTCCAGGGCTGGAGGGACGACCGCCATGGTAAGGACCCCGCAACGCTGAGCTGATGGACGGGCTGAAGGAGGGAGGGAGACCCCATGGGGAAGCTCTGAGAAGGAAGAGGAAGCCTCTGCTCACCCTCATCTGGAAGGGCAGACGCAGGAGGGCACCAGTTCTATTTGCTGCTACATCCCAGGTCTCAAGGAGATGAGGATAAACCAGACAGACAGTGGCTGGGGGGCAGGAAAGACCCCATTTCTGTCTGAAATGTCTGCAGAGGGCCTGGTGCCTGCCCCCACCTCAGCCCTAAAGGTATGACAGCCAGGCTCCTGAGAGGGCAGTTGCACTTCCTGTGTGGTTGCACATAACAAAACCCCATGACAAGAAGGATCCAGCCTCCGAGTGTCCACACCCTGTGCGTCTCTCTGTCCTGCCAGCACTGAGGGCTCATCCATCCGCAGAGCAGGGCAGTGGGAGGAGACGCCATGACCCCCATCCTCACGGTCCTGATCTGTCTCGGTGAGATTTGAAGAGGGAGGGGAGCTTCTAACCTAGGAGGGACCTCACCCCACAGCCAAACTCTGGTCCCTAAGGAGACCCCAGGGGCTCACAAAGATCCCAGGGAGGGGAGGACCTGCCCAGGCTTCAGGGGAAAAATCCCTCACAGGGAACTCTCTTCCAGGGCTGAGTCTGGGCCCCAGGACCCACGTGCAGGCAGGTGAGTCTGTTCCCAGCTGTCCCAGGTCCCTCCTCCTCACTAGGGACAAGGGGCCACCCCCGTGCAGCTGGGGATGGGGAATAGCAGTTCTGGGCTGACTGATGGGGGTGTCTGGAGGGTCCTGCAGCTGAGAGCTGAGATCTGTTGGGTGGGAAATGACTTAGAATCCGACCTCTGATTTCCTTCCAGGGCACCTCCCCAAGCCCACCCTCTGGGCTGAGCCAGGCTCTGTGATCATCCAGGGAAGTCCTGTGACCCTCAGGTGTCAGGGGAGCCTTCAGGCTGAGGAGTACCATCTATATAGGGAAAACAAATCAGCATCCTGGGTTAGACGGATACAAGAGCCTGGGAAGAATGGCCAGTTCCCCATCCCATCCATCACCTGGGAACACGCAGGGCGGTATCACTGTCAGTACTACAGCCACAATCACTCATCAGAGTACAGTGACCCCCTGGAGCTGGTGGTGACAGGTGAGAGGACACTCAGGAGTCCCAGCCCCAGGCTCTGCCCTCAGGAAGGGGGTCGGGTCTCAGGGGCATCTCCGCTCTCACAGCTCAACCCTGGGGATGATGTGGGAGGTGGGAGCCCCATTTAACACAGTGCCTCCTTCTCTCCTAGGAGCCTACAGCAAACCCACCCTCTCAGCTCTGCCCAGCCCTGTGGTGACCTTAGGAGGGAACGTGACCCTCCAGTGTGTCTCACAGGTGGCATTTGACGGCTTCATTCTGTGTAAGGAAGGAGAAGATGAACACCCACAACGCCTGAACTCCCATTCCCATGCCCGTGGGTGGTCCTGGGCCATCTTCTCCGTGGGCCCCGTGAGCCCGAGTCGCAGGTGGTCGTACAGGTGCTATGCTTATGACTCGAACTCTCCCTATGTGTGGTCTCTACCCAGTGATCTCCTGGAGCTCCTGGTCCCAGGTGAGAAATTCACAGAATTGCTTGGAGTTCCCTGAGTCTCCCTGAGTCTCCAGGCAGGTGGGGAGCAGCCGCGTCTCAGGGCAGCTCCAGGTGGGATGATGTTGGGGCGAGAGGGCTCAGGGCTCCTGGGGCCGGAGACACAGGAAGATCAGCGGGGGAGAGGGAGGGTTTGTGGGGAAGCCTGAGGGTCGGCTCCTGGAAACCATGAACACCTTTTCCCAGGTGTTTCTAAGAAGCCATCACTCTCAGTGCAGCCAGGTCCTATGGTGGCCCCTGGGGAGAGCCTGACCCTCCAGTGTGTCTCTGATGTCGGCTACGACAGATTTGTTCTGTATAAGGAGGGAGAACGTGACTTCCTCCAGCGCCCTGGTTGGCAGCCCCAGGCTGGGCTCTCCCAGGCCAACTTCACCCTGGGCCCTGTGAGCCCCTCCCACGGGGGCCAGTACAGATGCTACAGTGCACACAACCTCTCCTCCGAGTGGTCGGCCCCCAGTGACCCCCTGGACATCCTGATCACAGGTGAGGAGCCCAGCGGGTTCAGTCAGGGACCCAGGCTCTGCACAGGCCCTGCCAGGGGAGCCCAGGTGGTGATGGCCGGAATGAGGGTTGGGGGTCCCAAGGGAGGGAGAGACAGAGAGAGACAGGGGATGGGCGGGGAGGGGAGACTCAGAGAAAACAGAGACAGAGAGACTAAGGGTCCCAGGGAGAGGCCTGGGGAGGTCTCAGCTCAGAACAAGGTGGGGCAGCCCCTCACCCATCCTTCTTCTCTCTAGGACAGTTCTATGACAGACCCTCTCTCTCGGTGCAGCCGGTCCCCACAGTAGCCCCAGGAAAGAACGTGACCCTGCTGTGTCAGTCACGGGGGCAGTTCCACACTTTCCTTCTGACCAAGGAGGGGGCAGGCCATCCCCCACTGCATCTGAGATCAGAGCACCAAGCTCAGCAGAACCAGGCTGAATTCCGCATGGGTCCTGTGACCTCAGCCCACGTGGGGACCTACAGATGCTACAGCTCACTCAGCTCCAACCCCTACCTGCTGTCTCTCCCCAGTGACCCCCTGGAGCTCGTGGTCTCAGGTGAGGGCCCTGATCTTGTCCTCTCCGAGCTCAAAGGCTCAGCTCAGGCCCTGCCCCCAGCAGAGCTCTGGGACAATAATGAATGAGGGGAGTGAAGCGGGAGGGTCCACAGGGGAGGGTCCAGCCCATGGGAGAGTGGAAATAGGCAGGGACCTCCCACCCCTGGCTCCCACCCCTGAAGTCTCAGTAAAGAGCATGAAGGGCTGGGAGGAGACGGGGGCGGGGGGGCGGGTGGTGAACCTCAGAGATGTGATTAGACTGAGGGTGGAAGACGGAGACCCCACCCGCTCCCCTCCTGATGTCTCCACCTCAGAATCAGAGCCTCTGGGGGTCCCAAACCCTATGTCCTGACCCCATGGGTGACAAAACCAGCCACTCCCAGCTCAAGAGAAGTTTCTAGACTCATCTCAATGCTACCTCCAATATTCAGGGTCTGATTTCCAGGGCAGCAGCGGGGAGGGTGGACAGTAAGGGTGTGGTCTGCGTGGCTTCCTGGGGCTTCAGGGATGGGGCAGGTGTTCCCTCCGTGGTGTTCAGAGGGGAGGGAGGTGTCTGAGGTTCAGCATTGATGAGCGGAGCAGAGGGATCTTTCCCCCTCCCTGAGCAGGATTCCCAGGAGCCGTCACCTCTCATGGGGGAGCCAGGGTCAGGGGAGATCACAGTCAGGTACTTGGTCTAGGAGTCAGGTGGGAGGAGCCCGGGGAGGTGGGGCTGGGTCTGTGATGGCTCAGCCTCTCCTTGGGAGGTGGAACTTCTGAAAGAGCCCATTCCCCTTGCACCCTGGACTCCTCATCTGAATAAGGGGGAGCTGCCTGGATGTGACTGCCCCAAAGCCCCTTCATTTCTGACCTTCTGGGGCATCTGGGATGTGGCTCATCCTAGACCTGCTCCCGTCTACAGCCCTCTCTGGCCCTCTCCTAATTCTCCCAATAACTGAGACTTGTTAAGAGTTAAAAAACCAACGGAGATGGGGGCAGGTGCATGCAGTTTTACCCATCCCTCCTGGAATCTCAGCTTAGTAAGACAAAGACACAATATTTTGGAAAAAACAAAAGTTTACAAAACCCCGCTGGTTGAGAGTCTCCCCTCTCTCGTGTACAAGAGAAAATGTCTCCAATTTTCTACCAAAATCAATAGCTGGCACAGCTCTGCAGGACCCCCAGCCCCTGGCCTTGTCCTGCAGGATGTGTGATGAGTAGAGGAAGGAGAACAGGCTGGGTGGGGAGGATTTGGGGTCCAGGCCTGACTTGGACACTGGGAAGATGCTGGGGCTGATGGAGGAGGAAGAGAGGCAGGTGAGTTGGAGAGAGGACAGATGGACAGTGTATTGGCAGCTCTCATTTCTCATTTCCAAGAGCCCCTGAGTATAAGCCCTTCACCCACACCTGCGGGGTCCCTGGGCCATCTCAAGACAAGAGAGGAGGCTGCTTGGGCCTCGGTGGGATCTGACTGTGATGAGGCTGGAGTCCACCCCAGATGTGCTCCTTTAGAGAGAAGCACCCCAGCTGTGGGTGCCGCTCACACTGCCCCTCCTGTGCTCACCTGGAGGCCTCTGTGCTCAGGGCATCCCTGAGAATAAGGAGGGGCCCTGCACCTGCTCCCTGGACAAGTCAGGCAAGTATTCACAGCACGTCTTTCTGTTTAACTCATTTCTACTCTGCATTTTCTGTATGCACTTGTCCTTTGTTACTTTTTTTCTAAAACTTTTAAAACAGTATTTGAATATATGAATTTATAATATATGAACTTAAAATTGTATGCATATATTATTTAAAAATCCTTATTTATACTCCCCTTTAATTGAGTCTTGATTTAATTTATACATTCAATGTAGAAACAAATTTCTCATTAATATCAACTCTTCCTCCTTCACACATTAAAAATGAAGATTTTCTTAATGAATTTAAGACATGTTTTGAAATTTTACTCCTAAGAATATTGTATGCTCATTTTAACTTAAAGAATTATTCAACATCTTTAACAATTGATAAGTGAGGTATTTGATTTCTTTTTATATATATATATATTTTATTATTATAGTTTAAGTTCCAGGGTACATGTGCACAATGTGCAGGTTTGTTACGTAGGTATACAGGTGCCATGTTGGTTTGCTGCACCCATCAACTCGTCATTCACATTAGTATTTCTCCTAATGCTATCCTTCTCCCAGCCCCCCACCCCTAGACTGGCCCCGGTGTGTGATGTTCCCCGCCCTGTGTCCATGTGTTCTCATTGTTCAACTCCCATTATGAGTGAGAACATGCGGTGTTTGGTTTTCTGTTCTTGTGACAGTTTGCTGAGTGATGGTTTCCAGGTTCATCAATGTCCCTGCAAAGGACATGAACTCATCCTTTTTAACGGCTGCATAGTATTCCATGGTGTATATGTGCCACATTTTCTTAATGCAGTCCACTGATGGACATTTGGGTTGGTTCCAAGTCTTTGCTATTGTGATTAGTGCCACAGTAAACATATGTGTGCATGTGTCTTTGTCGTAGAATGGTTTATAACCCTTTGGGTATATGCCCAGTAATGGGATTGCTGGGTCAAATGGTAGTTCTAGTTGTAGATTCTTGAGGAATCGTCACACTGTCTTCCACAATGGTTGAACTAATTTACACTCCCACCAACAGTGTAAAAGCGTTCCTATTTTTCCACATCCTCTCCAGCATCTGTAGTTTCCTGACTTTTTAATGATTGCCATTCTAACTGGCATGAGATGGTATCTCACTGCTGTTTTGATGTGCATTTCTCTGATGACCAGTGATGATAAGCATTTTTGCATATGTCTGTTGCCTGCATAAATGTCTTCTCTTGAGAAGTGTCTGTTCATATCCTTTGCCCACTTTTTGATTTTTTTTTTTTGTAAATGTGTTTAAGTTCTTTATAGATTCTGGATATTAGCACTTTGCCAAATGGGTAGATTGCAAAAATTTTCTCCCATTCTGTAGGCTGCCTGTTCACTCTCATGATAGTTTCTTTTGCTGTGCAGAAGCTCTTTAATTAGATCCCATTTGTCTATTTTGGCTTTTGGTGCCATTGCTTGTGGTGTTTTAGTCATGAAGTCCTTGCCCATGCCTATGTCCTGAATGGTATTGCCTAGGTTTTCTTCTAGGGTTTTTATGGTGTTAGGTCTTACATTTAAGTCTTTAATCCATCTTGACTTAATTATCGTATAGGGTGTAAGGAAGGGATCCAGTTTCAGCTTTCTACATGTGGCTAGCCAGTTTTTCTAGCACCATTTATTAAATAGGGAATTCTTTCCCCATTTCTTGTTTTTGTCAAGTTTGTCAAAGATCAGATGGTTGTAGATGTGTGGTTTTATTTTTGAGGGCTCTGTTCTGTTCCATTGGTCTATGCATCTGTTTTGGTACCAGTACCATGCTGCTTTGGTTACTGTAGCCTTGAAGGGTAGTTTGAAGTCAGGTAGCGTGATGCCTCCAACTTTGTTCTTTTTGCTTAGGATTGTCTTGGCAATGCGGGCTTTTTTTTGGTTCCATATGAACTTTAAAGTAGTTTTTTCCAATTATGTGAAGAAAGTCAGTGGTAGCTTGATGGGGATAGCATTGAATCTATAAATCCCTTTGGGCAGTGTGGCCATTTTCACAATATTGATTCTTCCTATCCATGAGCATGGAATGTTCTTCCATTTGTCTGTGTTCTCTTTTAATTCATTGAGCAGTGGTTTGTAGTTCTCTTTGAAGAGGTCCTTCACATCCTTTGTTAGTTGGATTCCTAGGTATTTTATTCTCTTTGTAGTAATTGCAAATGGGAGTTCACTCATGACTTGGCTCTCTGTTTGTCTATTATTGGTTTATAGGAATGCTTGTAATTTTTGCACATTGATTTTGTATCCTGAGACTTTGCTGAAGTTGCTTATCAGCTTAAGGAGATTTTGGGCTGAGTCAATGGGGTTTTAAATATATAATCATGTCATCTGCAAGCAGAGATAATTTGACTTTCTCTTTTCCTAATTGAATACACTTTATTTCTTTCTCTTGCGTGATTGCCCTAGCCAGAACTTCCAACACTATGTTGAATAGGAGTGGTGAGAGAGGAAATTCTTGTCTTGTGCCGGTTTTCTTTTTTTTTTTTTTTTTTTTTATTATACTCTAAGTTTTAGGGTACATGTGCACATTGTGCAGGTTAGTTACATATGTATACATGTGCCATGCTGGTGTGCTGCACCCACTAATGTGTCATCTAGCATTAGGTATATCTCCCAATGCTATCCCTCCCCCCTCCCCCGACCCCACCACAGTCCCCAGAGTGTGATATTCCCCTTCCTGTGTCCATGTGATCTCATTGTTCAATTCCCACCTATGAGTGAGAATATGCGGTGTTTGGTTTTTTGTTCTTGTGATAGTTTACTGAGAATGATGGTTTCCAATTTCATCCATGTCCCTACAAAGGATATGAACTCATCATTTTTTATGGCTGCATAGTATTCCATGGTGTATATGTGCCACATTTTCTTAATCCAGTCTATCATTGTTGGACATTTGGGTTGGTTCCAAGTCTTTGCTATTGTGAATAGTGCCGCAATAAACATACGTGTGCATGTGTCTTTATAGCAGCATGATTTATACTCATTTGGGTATATACCCAGTAATGGGATGGCTGGGTCAAATGGTATTTCTAGTTCTAGATCCCTGAGGAATCGCCACACTGACTTCCACAATGGTTGAACTAGTTTACAGTCCCACCAACAGTGTAAAAGTGTTCCTATTTCTCCGCATCCTCTCCAGCACCTGTTGTTTCCTGACTTTTTAATGATTGCCATTCTAACTGGTGTGAGATGATATCTCATAGTGGTTTTGATTTGCATTTCTCTGATGGCCAGTGATGATGAGCATTTCTTCATGTGTTTTTTGGCTGCATAAATGTCTTCTTTTGAGAAGTGTCTGTTCATGTCCTTCGCCCACTTTTTGATGGGGTTGTTTGTTTTTTTCTTGTAAATTTGTTTGAGTTCATTGTAGATTCTGGATATTAGCCCTTTGTCAGATGAGTAGGTTGCGAAAATTTTCTCCCATGTTGTAGGTTGCCTGTTCACTCTGATGGTAGTTTCTTTTGCTGTGCAGAAGCTCTTTAGTTTAATTAGATCCCATTTGTCAATTTTGTCTTTTGTTGCCATTGCTTTTGGTGTTTTGGACATGAAGTCCTTGCCCACGCCTATGTCCTGAATGGTAATGCCTAGGTTTTCTTCTAGGGTTTTTATGGTTTTAGGTTTAACGTTTAAATCTTTAATCCATCTTGAATTGATTTTTGTATAAGGTGTAAGGAAGGGATCCAGTTTCAGCTTTCTACATATGGCTAGCCAGTTTTCCCAGCACCATTTATTAAATAGGGAATCCTTTCCCCATTGCTTGTTTTTCTCAGGTTTGTCAAAGATCAGATAGTTGTAGATATGCGGCATTATTTCTGAGGGCTCTGTTCTGTTCCATTGATCTATATCTCTGTTTTGGTACCAGTACCATGCTGTTTTGGTTACTGTAGCCTTGTAGTATAGTTTGAAGTCAGGTAGTGCTACAAACCACTGCTCAAGGAAATAAAAGAGGACACAAACAAATGGAAGAACATTCCATGCTCATGGGTAAGAAGAATCAATATCGTGAAAATGGCCATACTGCCCAAGGTAATTTACAGATTCAATGCCATCCCCATCAAGCTACCAATGACTTTCTTCACAGAATTGGAAAAAACTACTTTAAAGTTCATATGGAACCAAAAAAGAGCCCGCATTGTGCCGGTTTTCAAAGGGAATACTTCTTTGCCCATTCAGTATGATATTGGCTGTGGGTTTGCTATAAATAGCTGTTATTATTTTGAGATATGTTCCATCAGTACCGAGTTTATTGAGAGTTTTTAGCATGAAGGGCTGTTGAATTTTGTCAAAGGCCCTTTCTGCATCTATTAAGATAATCATGTGGTTTTTGTCATTGGTTCTGTTTATGTGATGGATTACATTTAGTGATTTGCCTATGTTGAACCAGCCTTGCATCCCAGGGATGAAGCTGACTTGGTCATGGTGGGTAAGCTTTTTGATGTGCTGCTGGATTTGGTTTGCCAGTATTTTATTGAGGAGTTTTGCATCAATGTTCATCAGGGATATTGACCTAAAATTATCCTTTTTTGTTGTGTGTCTACGAGGCTTTGGTATCAGGATGATGCTAGCCTCATAAAATGAGTTAGGGAGGATTCCCTCTTTTTCCATTGACTGGAGTAGTTTCAGAGAGAGTGGTACCAGCTCCTCTTTGTACCTCTGGTAGAATTCGGCTGCGAATCCTTCTGGTCCTGGATTTTTTTTGGTTGGTAGGCTATTAATTATTGCCTTCATTTCAGAACCTGTTATTGGTTTATTCATAGATTCAACTTCTTTCTGGTTTAGTCTTGGGAGGGTGTATGTGTCCAGGAATTTATCCATTTCTTCTAGATTTTCTAGTTTATTTGTGTAGAGGTGTTTACAGTATTCTCTGATGGTAGTTTGTATTTCTGTGGAATCGGTGGTGATATCCCCTTTATCATTTTTCATTGCATCTATTTGATTCTTCTCTCTTTTCTTGTTTATTAGTCTTCCTAGCGGTCTATCAATTTTGTTGATCTTTTCAAAAAACCAGCTCCAGGATTCATTGATTTTTTTGAAGGGTTTTTTGTGTCTCTATCTCCTTCAGTTCTGCTCTGATCTTAGTTATGTCTTGCCTTCTGCTAGCTTTTGAATTTGTTTGCTCTTGCTTCTCTAGTTCTTTTAATTGTGATGTTAGGGTGTCGATTTTAGATCTTTCCTGCTTTCTCTTTTGGGCATTTAGTGCTATAAATTTCCCTCTACACACTGCTTTAAATGTGTCCCAGAGATTCTGTTATGTTTTGTCTTTGTTCTCATTGGTTCCAAAGAACATCTTTATTTCTGCCTTCATTTCATTATTTACCCAGTAGTCATTCAGGAACAGGTTGGTCAGTTTCCATGTAGTTGTGTGGTTTTGAGTGAGTTTATTAATCCTGAGTTGTAATTTGATTGCACTGTGGTGTGAGAGACAGTTTGTTGTGATTTCTGTTCTTTTACATTTGCTGAGGAGTGGTTTACTACCAATTATGTGGTCAATTTTGGAATAAGTGCAAAGTGATGCTGAGAAGAATGTGTATTCTGTTGATTTGGGGTGTAGAGTTCAGTAGATGTCTATTAGGTCTGCTTGGTTCAGACCTGAGTTCAAGTCCTGGATATCCTTGTTAACCTTATGTGTCATTGATCTAATATTGACAGAGGGGTGTTAAAGTCTCCTATTATTATTGTGTGGGAGTCTAAGTCTTTTTGTAGGTCTCTAAGGACTTGGTTTTTGAATCTGGGTGCTCCTGTATTGGGTGCATATATATTTAGGATAGTTAACTCTTCTTGTTGAATTGATCCCTTTACCATAATGTAGTGGCCTTGTCTCTTTTGATCTTTGTTGGTTTAAAGTCTGTATTATCAGAGACTAGGATTGCAACTCCTGCTTTTTTTTTTTCTTTCCATTTGCTTGGTAGATCTTCCTCCATACCTTTATTTTGAGCCTATGTGTGTCTCTGCACATGAGATGGGTCTCCTGAATACAGCACACTGATGGGTCTTGATTCTTTATCCAATTTGCTGGTCTGTGTCTTTTAATTGGAGCATTTAACCCATTTACATTTAAGGTTAATACTGTTATGTTTGAGTTTGATCATGTCATTATGATGTTAGCTGGTTATTTTGTCCATTAATTGATGCAGTTTCTTCATAGTGTCAGTGGTCTTTACCATTTGGCATGTTTTTGCAGTGGCTGGCACTGATTGTTCCTTTCCATGTTTAGTGCTTCCTTCAGGAGCTCTTTTAAGGCAGGCCTGGTGGTGACAAAATCTCTCAGCATTTGCTTGGCTGTAAAGGATTTTATTTCTCCTTCACTGATGAAGCTTAGTTTGGCTTGATATGACAGTCTGGGTTGAAAATTATTTTCTTTAAGAATGTTGAATATTGGCCTCCACTCTCTTCTGGCTTGTAGAGTTTCTGCCAAGAGATCCGCTGTTAGTCTGATGGGCTTTTCTTTTTGGGTAACCAGACCTTTCTCTCTGGCTGCCCTTAATATTTTTTCCTTCATTTCAACCTTGGTGAATCTGATAATTATGTGTCTTTGGGTTGCTCTTCTCAAGGAGTGTCTTTGTGGTGTTCTCTGTATTTCCTGAATTTGAATGTTGGCTTGCCTTTGTAGGTTAGGGAAGTTCTCCTGGATAATATTCTGAAGAGTGTTTTCTAACTTGGTTCCATTCTCCTCGTCACTTTCCGGTACACTAGTCAAACATAAATTTGGTCTTTTCACATAGTCCCATATTTCTTGGAGGCTTTGTTCATTTCTTTTCATTCTCTTTTCTCTAATCTTGTCTTCTTGCTTTATTTCATTAATTTGATCTTCAGTCACTGATATCCTTTCTTCCACTTGATCGAATCAGCTATTGAAGCTTGTGCATGCATCACGAAGTTCTTGTGCCGTGGTTTTCAGCTGCATCAGGTCATTTAAGGTCTTCTCTACACGGTTTATTGTAGTTAGCCATTCATCTAACCATTTTTCAAGGTTTTTAGCTTCCTTGCAATGGGTTAGAACATGCTTCTTTAGCTTGAAGAAGTTTGTTATTACCGACCTTCTGAAACCTACTTCCATCAACTTGTCAAACTCATTCTTCATCCAGTCTTGTTCTGTTGCCGGTGAGGAGCTGCGATCCTTTGGAAGAGAAGAGGCACTCTGTTTTTGGAATTTTCAGCTTTTCTGCTCTGGTTTCTCCCCATCTTTGTGGTTTTATCTACCTTTGGTCTTTGATGTTGGTGACCTAGGGATGGGGTTTTGGTGTGGATGTCCTTTTTGTTGACATTGATGCTATTCCTTTCTGTTTGTTAGTTTTCCTTCTAAGAGTCAGACCCCTCAGCAGCAGGTCTGTTGGTGTTTGCTGGAGGTCCAGTCCAGCCAGACCTTATTTGCCTGGGTATCACCAGCAGAGGCTGCAGAACAGCAAATATTGCTGCCTGACCCTTCCTTTCGAAGCTTCATCCCAGAGGGGCACCCACCTGTTTGAGGTGTCTGTTGGCCCCTACTGGGAGGTGTTTCCCAGTCAGGCTACACGGGGGTCAGGGACCCACTTGAGGATGCAGTCTGTCCGTTGTTGGAGCTCTAATGCGGTGCTGAGAGAACCACTGCTGTCTTCAGGGCTATCAGACAGGGACGTTTAAGTCTGCAGAAGCTACCTGCTGCCCTTTGTTCTACTATGCCCTGCCCCCAGAAGTGGAATCTGTAGAGGCAGTAGGCCTTGCTGAGCTGTGGTGGGCTCCACCCAGTTCGTGCTTCCAGGCATCTTTGTTTACACTGTGAGCTACTCCAACCTCAGCAATGGTGGATGCCCTTCCCTCCATCCAGCTGCAGCATCGCAGGTCGATCTCAGACTGCTGCGCTAGCAGTGAGCAAGGCTCCGTGGGTGTGAGACCTGCCGAGCCAGGCACGGGAGGGTATCTCCTGGTCTGCCAGTTGCTAAGACTGTGGGAATAGTGCAGTAGTTGGTCAGGAGGGTACTGTTTCTCCGGATACAGTCTGTCACGGCTTCCCTTGGCTAGGAAAGGGAAATCCTCCGACCCCTTGTGCTTCCCAGGTGAGGCGACACCCCATCCTGCTTCAGCTCGCCCTTTGTGGGCTGCAGCCACAGTCCAACCAGTCCCAATGAGATAAACCAGGTACCTCAGTTGGAAATGCAGAAATCCAGCTGCAGACCGGAGCCATTCCTATTCGACCATCTTGGAAGCGACACCTATATTTTTTTTAAAGAAGGATAGGTATCCATGAGAAAGTGACTGGTTTCATTATGTTCTTTTTATTTGTTATTCACCCACTAGAGAATGGCTCCTTTCTAATTACTCTTCAATGATCTCCTTTAATTTCTGGTACAATTTTAGAAATCATAATACATGGAAATTTTATTTCTTTATTTCTAAATTACATGCCAATATTTCTCAAATATTAACGTGTATATAACTACATAATAAATACATTTCTGAAGTTTTACATATATACACAGGTTCTATACATTACACATGATGTGAGTGGAGGTATATCTAAACACATTTTTATATGTATTCATCCATATGCTTCACATATTTGACATGACAGGTCTTTACAGGTTTGTTATTGGTCTTCTTATCTAGACTCACACTTGCTGGAGCAGAAGTATTCATTTATGAACCTCGGATAGCACCAGCATTTAACATATGCATATTTGTGTGTGTGGGTGGGTGTGCATGCACGTGTATTGCATTCTAGGGGTTACTGCCTGTATGAGGAATTAGTTACCTAAGGATTAAACGGAAGATGAAACCCCAGGTGAAGTGGTTGAGGGCATGAAGGGGAGGCAGACCCAGACTTTCACCCCTTTGTGTTCCTGACATTCAAGAGCCCCTGAGGTCCAACCCCTCCTCCATGGAGCCTGGGTCCTCAGCTGGCGGATCCGTGAAACTCATCTCTGGGGAGCATTGGCTTCTGTGGTCCTGCACCTGCTCCTTGCAGCCAGTTAGGGCTCAGAGAGGACACAGAGAGCACACAAGGTCCCAGGCTGCACAGAGAGCACATAAGGTCCTGGTTATTTCTGTATTGGGGACCACTTACCATATCCATGCTGAGCTCCCGGGATGCAGGAAAACTCTCCCAAATGACTCAGGAGCTGAGTTTGGATTTGTAGAACACAGGAAGTCTGAAATAATTCAATGAGGAGACTGGAGGGAACCCTGCTACAGCAGAGGAAGGGTTTATTGAGGAACTCCATAAAACTCATGTCAAGAGACACAGGGGAAAAGAAGAATGCAGAGCCCAGGAGTGAGGCTGGGCTCAGGGCTCTTCTCCACTGTTTTGATTCTCAGAAGCAGCTGAGACCCTCAGCCCATCACAAAACAAGACAGACTCCACGACTAGTGAGTGAGGAGATGCTCTCAGTTATGGGACTGGCACAGAGGGTCAGGTCCTGTAAAGGGGAGGTGGGTGCCCTGGGTGGACATACAGGAGTCCCGGGGTGATTCCGATCTGCCCTGACCTCTGTGACCTCTTTGTCCAGCATCCCTAGGCCAACACCCCCAGGATTACACAGTGGAGAATCTCATCCGCATGGGTGTGGCTGGCTTGGTCCTGGTGGTCCTCGGGATTCTGCTATTTGAGGCTCAGCACAGCCAGAGAAGCCTACAAGATGCAGCCGGGAGGTGAACAGCAGAGAGGACAATGCATCCTTCAGCGTGGTGGAGCCTCAGGGACAGATCTGATGATCCCAGGAGGCTCTGGAGGACAATCTAGGACCTACATTATCTGGACTGTATGCTGGTCATTTCTAGAGACAGCAATCAATATTTGAGTGTAAGGAAACTGTCTGGGGTGATTCCTAGAAGATCATTAAACTGTGGTACATTTTTTTGTCTATGAATGTTGACTTCCCTTGACTGGATCCCCTTTTTTTCCCATCCCCAGACATGAGGCTCCATCCCACATGGCACCGTTGGGTCCACACCTCCACACACCTGTGTGCTCTGGTCCACGGCATGTGACACAGTCTTCCTTATTCCTCATTGTCACACTCCTTGATGTCACTTACTGAGTCCCCGTCTCTTCAGTTCAGAGATCCAAACCTGAACCACCAACTAAATCAACGACAGGAGATCAGATTCCAACCAGGAAAACATAAATCCACCCTGCTGCCCTGACACCCTCTCTGTACCTTATGAGCCCTTCCCTCTTTCTCAGATGCTATCTGTGTAATTTCTCCTGAAATATCACCACTTGGAATCATCACACTGGCATTTCAAGTGACACCACAGCTATGCTGATTCAGAAAAAGACATCTCTAAAATACTGTAATTAGTGGTATCTACCAATTTCTGTGACATAAATATTTTTCTCATGGCCCAAATCAAGGTGCCAATGGGTTCTCACTGAATACAGGGTTGGGAAGCAAGGGACAGAACTGTCTTCACTAATGAGCACCAGGGACCTGTGGCACATCCCACTGAGAGCTCACCCATATACCTACAGTCCTTTCTATTTCAGAGGCAATGATCACTTCTACTTCAGTGTTATGGCACAGGTCAAATGAAATTCTGACACTGTTATCCTAGCATATCCACAAAAGACAAACCTATTAATATCTGATGTGGGAGATAACACGGCTCACCTAAAAATCAAAGTACATGCCGGGCGCGGTGGCTCACGCCTGTAATCCCAGCACTTTGGGAGGCCAAGGCAGGCAGATCACGAGGTCAGGAGATCTAGACCATCCTGGCTAACATGGTGAAACCCCGTCTCTACTAAATACACAAAAAAATATTGGCCGGGCGTGGTGGTGGGCGCCTGTAGTCCCAGCTACTCAGGAGGCTGAGGCAGGAGAATGGCGTGAACCTGGGAGGCGGAGCTTGCAATGGGCCGAGATTGCGACACTGCCCTCCAGCCTGGGCGACAGAGCAAGACTCCGTCTCAAAAAAAAAAAAAAATCCAAGTACAACATAAGAAAAATGTTAACAGAACTATGCAGTTTCGATGAAAGAATTTTTTTTGAGATGGAGTTTTGCTTTGTTGCCCAGGCTGGAGTGCAATGGTGCAATCTCGGCTCACTGCAACCTCCACTTCCCAGGTTCAAGCAATTCTCCTGCTTCTGCCTCCCGAGTTACTGGACTACAGGTGTGCACCACCATTCCCGGCTATTTTTTGTATTTTTAGTAGAGACGGGGGTCTCGCCATGTTAGTGAGGCTGGTCTTGAACTCCTGACCTCAGGTTATCCACCTGCCTCAGCCTCCCAGAGTGCTGGGATTACAGGTGTAAGCCACTGTGCCCGGCTGATGGAAGAATTCTTAAATGACTCGTTCTACTTTCTGCTGGTCCAGGCACTCCTTGGCTTGGGGCAGCATCCCACCAGTTTCTGCCTCCATCTTCTCAATGCTTACACCTACCTGGTTGCCTCTGTCTTCACACCCATTCTTCTGTGTGTGTCTTTTCTCTTCTTCAGATTATGATATCACTCAGATCAGATTAGGACTCATCCTAATTCGTTATGATCCCTTGATCATAACTTAAATGCATTTGCAAAGACTCTATTTCCAACTATGTTCACATTTATAGCTAATGGGGCTCAGGATTTCAACGTGTATATTAGGGGGAACAAGTCAATTTATGACAGTGTCTACAAGAAAAGTATGCATAGAAATACATTTAACCAAATACAAAAATTAGGTGGGTGTGGTGGTACACGCCTGTAATCCCAGCTACTCAGGAGGCTGAGACAGGAGAATCGCGTCAACCCAGGAAACAGAGGTTGCAGTGAGCTGAGATCTTGCCATTGCACTCCAGCCTGGGCAACAGAGTGAGACTCTGTCTCAAAAAAAGAGAAATACATTTAACCAAAGAGATGCAATACGTATACATTGACAATTTTAAAATACTGCTCAAAGAAATAACAAAAGACCTAAATGAGGAAAAAGTCATCCCAGTATCATAAATCAAAAGGCTTAAAATTAGTTATCTCCCTCTAGGGAACCTAGACTAATACACTCACCCCGTCTCCTTGTTCGGAGGCTCTCCTGCCTATCAGCTTTTCTCCTCTGTGCTTTCCATGTCCCTGTGGTTCTCTGGTGAGCCCCATCATGCTGTCCTAGAAGATCCACTTAGAATTTCGGTATTTACTCACCATTTTGACTCCTCTTAACGAGACAGGCACATGCCAGCTGTTTCCATTCATCCAACCTGAACCTGAGCCCCCGATCATTTTTTCTACCACTTTTCAGTCCTGGGAAACTCAGTCCCAATGTGCTTGTCATTCATTTGAGAATAATTTTCATTTTCTCCAGTAGTTTTAAAATTACTTTGTATCTATTCTAGATATCGTTTGCTCTATCATAGTTAAGACATTAATGTTATTTATGAATTTGTGCACATTAAACTCATGATCTTTCATTTCTGTAAAAATGTCAACTATTTCCTTTGCAAGTATTTATTGACTAACATACTCCTTATTTCCTTCATTCTGAAAGTGTGACACATAGAGATATATCTGTTTCCTCTTCTCACTCTATTCTTTGTGTGCATTAATTATCTTTTCTATTTTTTTCATTTCTAGTTTTTCTCCGATGACTAATGAAAAATTTAATAAATATTCTACACCAATACAATGTTTATCATTTCAGCAGTGTCTGGTTCTTGATGAAAGTATTTCTAAATGTGTTAATATAATTTACTATTTTCACATCACAATAGCTTCCTAATTCATTTCTATAATTGCCTGTTTTTTCTCTAATGGACTCTTCGATTTTTATTCCTCTGGGGTGGGTTTTTCTCCCACACACCTGATCTTCCATACAGGGTTTCTCCCAGGGATGACTCAGGAAGGAAAACTGATGAGGGGCATTTTTGTACCCGCTCCTGCCCTGCGGTGTCCATGCTCCCAAGTTTAGAATCAGCTCTGTGTTATGCCTGGCATGGTGGAGCCCATGAGACCCTCACATTCAAGTGCCAAAGATGCCCGGTCCAGCAGTGATAAAGCGAGACTGTGTCATGCACACCCGGGAAGGTGGCTCAGTGCTGAATGTGGCCTGGGTCACCAAACCAAGCAATCCCAGATTCTGTCCACAAATACAGAAGAGAGGGAGCCACAGTCTCTCTAGGATCCCACGGTTTCCTCCACTTTTTCCTTTGTTCTGAGAGAAAGACAAAGTGCCATGACTGCTCTGTGGGCTGGACAGATGCCTGTTTTCACCTGCAGGCTTGAACTCAAGCTGAGGTCTTGAGCATTCCCAGGTACTGATAAAGCACCTTAGATTGTTTCTAGAAAACACTGAAAAATTAACCCTTTGTTAATTATGTAGAAACAAACCCTGCCCTGAACCAAACTCCTGAAACGCTCAGGTTAAACTTTGTAACTCAATCCCTTCACTGCAGATACCCAGTAGGAAAGTCACATGAGCAAGGATGAGATGACTTTGGTTAAACTCAGACCCCACAGGGCCAGGAAGGCCTGACGGAGAGGAGGCTCGTGTTGCCAGGTCTCAGATAAGAACTGTTTCTAAGGACTTTTTTAAAAACCCCATAAGAAACTCTTCCATGTCTTTCACCCCTCTCCTGCTTTGACATGGTTTATTACTAGATATTCTTTAGGACATCAGGAATGCAGATAGGCTGCTCTCGAGAGAATACTTGCCCAGCAATGGCATCTCCTCCAATGGACTGACAGCAACTCTGGCTTTGAACCTCTGGAACCAGGGAACTCTGCTTCTAAGCAGCTCTGTCAGCCTCTCCCTTGTTGCTGATAAGAATTTCCTTTACCTCTCTATGTACAGAGAGCTCTCTCTATGATGTTTTTCCTCTACTCTCACACCACAACAGTCATCAACACAGGAGACTTGTAGGATCAGATGTGTGGGATTGTTTCCCAGACCCAATAGCGAACAGCAGCTGGGTGTCCTCTAAGTCGGCTCCGAGCTGTCTACCCAGACACAGTCCCAGATCCCACAGATTGAAGGCCCATTCTCCAAGATTGCCCCCACACACCATTCCCAAGTCCAGACCTCCAGAACTTCTGACTGACTGGCTTCAAGTTGGGGATCCCATGACCACCTCTTTGGGTTTGATTAATTTGCTGTAGCAGCTCACAGAACTCAGGGAGACACTGACGTTTACTGGTTGAATACAAAGCACACTGCAGAGGACACAGATGAAGAGACTCATAGGAGGAGGCATGGGGGAAGGGACCGGAGCATCTATGCCCTCCCTGGGCGCCACGCTCCAGGAACCTCCGCATGCTCAGCCATCCAGAAGCCCATGAAACCCAGTCCTCTTGGGCTTTTAAGGAGCTTCGTGACATCAGCATTTCCTCCCACAAGGAACAGGGTGAGACCATCTTCTGGGAGGGTCTTAAGAGCCACCATCAGAAAGGCAGGGAACATTCGAGTCTTGCCTTGGGCAGGTGAAGGAAGGGCAGGAGGAGGTCAGAGGCCTCCCCTAAGGCCTAACACAGCCAATACTCTAACAAAAGACTGTAACCAGTGGTATGGAGTTATAAGCCAGGAACCGCGGGTGAAAACCAGTGTGTATCACAACATCACACTTCCCTCTCCGGATGCACTGTGTCTTGCCATGCCATGCACTCCAGATTGTAATCTTTGCTTCTCATTCTCAAATACAAGCAAAATCCAGGCAACCCTGGAGCAATGCAGCCTTGAATTCCTGGGGTCTCTTGTATGCACACTCTCTTCAACCAAACGGGGATCATAACTATGGCATTTGTGGGATGCAAATCCTGTGTATACGAATGGCAGACTTTCCCTATACATGGTGCAGTGGAGCCAGCTTCAGGGCTGGAGTACAGGCAGGTTTTGTGACATGTGGGCCACGGACTGGAGCCAGTTCCCTTGTACACCAAAGAACAACTGTACTTAGAGATAATTTTCTCTAGATTTTTGTTTTGTTTTGTTATTTTAGGTTAAAGCATTGGATAGAACACCCAGTGTCACCTTGTCTACCTCCAGGACATGCTGCAGGGCCCACTCTATGGAAGTCCCTCTAACAAATGCTCTATGAACACCCTGGTGTTTAGTGCTTCTTTCTTTGGAATCCCAGCAGCTCTATCACTGGACGGTTTGGTGCACTCCTTTGATGGAATTCCTCTGGGCTGCTTGGGGTCCACTCCAGCCTCAGGTGTAGCTGGAGGACGCAGCCTCCCACCTTGGTCTGGAGCCCTGAGGCCCTCACTGTCATTGCAGATCCCGAGGTTCCTCTCCCACCTCCATTCAGTGGTGGAAAACTCCATTCTAATTACCCCTTGAAGGTCCTGGGACCCTCTGGCCTCTGTTCTTTCTTGTGGATCCACCTACACTTGGGAACTTCCTCACCTCTTTTTCTGCTCATGACATTGATGCTCTGGGTATTTCAGAAATGCCTCATGTACATTTCTCCATTAGGGTCAGATGTGAGATCCTGAGTGGACACATCAATCATCTACACAGACTGGGGGGTCCAACATCGAGATCCTTTCACATCCCAAACAGTTCAGGTCTTACCCTGGTCTGGAAATCAAGCACAAATGAGCCCCTCCGAATGTCCCAGGCACCACTGACCCAACAACCACTGTGACCAGTGGGATTCATGACAACAATCTGCAAAGGAGGAAACTGAGGCTCAGTGATGGGACATTACAAACCAAGGTCATGTAGGCAGCGGATGATAACCAGTCATCAAATAAATATCAACTCCCTCCCCCACTCCCCAAATCAAAGCTCAAACATAAGTCATTGTTCTCAAAACGTTGAACAGGGATTGAGGTGCAGAGGGATGGCCAAGTAAGCAAAGGGCACCGAGGAGGCAGGAAAGTCTCAGATGTTTGTTCCCAGCGGGTGGGAGTGGACACTGTAGCAAAATATTTTAAAAAGGGGAAGTTGAGAGGGGACTATTTGGTTGAAAGAAAACCCACAATCCAGTGTCAAGAAAGAAGTCAACTTTTCTTCCCCTATTTCCCTGCATTTCTCCTCTGTGCTCACTGCCACACGCAGCTCAACCTGAGCTACACAGCCAGATGCGAGATGCTTCTCTGCTGATCTGAGTCTGCCTGCAGCATGGACCTTGGTCTTCCCTGAAGCATCTCCAGGGCTGGAGGGACGACTGCCATGGTAAGGACCCCACAACGCTGAGCTGATGGATGGCTGAAGGAGGGAGGGTGACCATGTGGGAGGCTGTGAGAAGGAAAGGGAAGCCTCCGTTACCCTCATCTGGAAGGGCAGACGCAGAAAGCACCAGTTCTATTTGCTGCTACATCCCGTCTCTCAGTGAGAAGAGGAGAAACCAGACAGACAGTGGCTGGGGGTCAGGAAAGACCCCATTACAGTCTGAAATGTCTGCAGAGGGCCTGGTTCCTGCCCCCACCTCAGCTCTAAAAGAATGAGAGTCAGGCTCCTGGTAGGGTAGTTCTGCTTCCTGTGTGGCTGCAGATGACAACACCCCATGAGAAGGACCCAGCCTCCGAGTGTCCACACTGGGTGGGAAGGAGGGGAGGCTATTTCTCTCTGTGTGTCTCTGTCCTGCCAGCACCGAGGGCTCATCCATCCGCAGAGCAGGGCAGTGGGAGGAGACGCTATGACCCCCATCGTCACAGTCCTGATCTGTCTCAGTGAGATTTGAAGAGGGAGGGGAGCTTCTAACCTAGGAGGGACCTCACCCCACAGCCGACCTCTAGTCCCTAAGGAGACCCCAGGGGCTCACAAAGATCCCAGGGAGGGGAGGACCTGCCCAGGCTTCAGGGGCAAATTCCTCACAGGGAACTCTCTTCCAGGGCTGAGTCTGGGCCCCCGGACCCACGTGCAGGCAGGTGAGTCTGTCCCCAGCTCTCCCAGGTCCCTCCTCCTCACTGGGGACAAGGGGCCACCCCCGTGCAGCTGGGGATGGGGAATAGCAGTTCTGGACTGACTGATGGGGGCATCTGGAGGGTCCTGGGCTGAGAGCTGAGATATGTTGGGTGGGAAATGACTTAGAATCTGAACTCTGATTTCCTTCCAGGGACCCTCCCCAAGCCCACACTCTGGGCTGAGCCAGGCTCTGTGATCACCCAGGGGAGTCCCGTGACCCTCTGGTGTCAGGGGATCCTGGAGACCCAGGAGTACCGTCTGTATAGAGAAAAGAAAACAGCACCCTGGATTACACGGATCCCACAGGAGATTGTGAAGAAGGGCCAGTTCCCCATCCCATCCATCACCTGGGAACACACAGGGCGGTATCGCTGTTTCTACGGTAGCCACACTGCAGGCTGGTCAGAGCCCAGTGACCCCCTGGAGCTGGTGGTGACAGGTGAGCTGACACTGAGGGCTCCCAGCCCCAGGCTCTGCCCTCAGGAAGGGAGTCAGTTCTCAGGGGCATCTCCCTCTCACAGCCCAGCCCTGGGGATGAAGTGGGAGGTGTGAGCCCCATTTAACATGGTGCCTCCTTCTCTCCTAGGAGCCTACATCAAACCCACCCTCTCAGCTCTACCCAGCCCTGTGGTGACCTCAGGAGGGAACGTGACCCTCCATTGTGTCTCACAGGTGGCATTTGGCAGCTTCATTCTGTGTAAGGAAGGAGAAGATGAACACCCACAATGCCTGAACTCACAGCCCCGTACCCATGGGTGGTCCCGGGCCATCTTCTCTGTGGGCCCCGTGAGCCCGAGTCGCAGGTGGTCGTACAGGTGCTATGCTTATGACTCGAACTCTCCCCATGTGTGGTCTCTACCCAGTGATCTCCTGGAGCTCCTGGTCCTAGGTGAGAAATTCACAGCATTGCCTGGAGTTCCCTGAGTCTCCCTGAGTCTCCAGGCAGGTGGGGAGCAGCCACGTCTCAGGGCAGCTCCAGGTGGGATGATGTTGGGGCGAGAGGGCTCAGGGCTCCTGGGGCCGGAGACACAGGAAGATCAGCAGTGGTGAGGCCCCGGGGGAGAGGGAGGATATGTGGGGAAGCCTGAGGGTCGGCTCCTGGAAACCATGAGCACCTTTTCCCAGGTGTTTCTAAGAAGCCATCACTCTCAGTGCAGCCAGGTCCTATAGTGGCCCCTGGGGAGAGCCTGACCCTCCAGTGTGTTTCTGATGTCAGCTACGACAGATTTGTTCTGTATAAGGAGGGAGAACGTGACTTCCTCCAGCTCCCTGGCCCACAGCCCCAGGCTGGGCTCTCCCAGGCCAACTTCACCCTGGGCCCTGTGAGCCGCTCCTACGGGGGCCAGTACAGATGCTCCGGTGCATACAACCTCTCCTCCGAGTGGTCGGCCCCCAGCGACCCCCTGGACATCCTGATCGCAGGTGAGGAGCCCAGCGGGTTCAGTCAGGGACACAGGCTCCGCACAGGCCCTGCCAGGGGAGCCCAGGTGGTGATGGCCGGAATGAGGGGTGGGGGTCCCAAGGGAGGGAGAGACAGACAGAGACAGGGGATGGGCGGGGCGGGGAAGACTCAGAGAAAACAGAGATAGAGACTGAGGGTCCCAGATAGAAGCCTGGGGAGGCGTCAGCTCAGAACAAGGTGGGGCAGCCTCTCACCCATCCTTCTTCTCTCCAGGACAGTTCCGTGGCAGACCCTTCATCTCGGTGCATCCGGGCCCCACGGTGGCCTCAGGAGAGAACGTGACCCTGCTGTGTCAGTCATGGGGGCCGTTCCACACTTTCCTTCTGACCAAGGCGGGAGCAGCTGATGCCCCCCTCCGTCTCAGATCAATACACGAATATCCTAAGTACCAGGCTGAATTCCCTATGAGTCCTGTGACCTCAGCCCACTCGGGGACCTACAGGTGCTACGGCTCACTCAGCTCCAACCCCTACCTGCTGTCTCACCCCAGTGACTCCCTGGAGCTCATGGTCTCAGGTGAGGGCCCTGACCCTGTCCTCTCCGAGCTCAAAGGATCAGCTCAGGCCCTGCCCCCCAGGAGAGCTCTGGACACTAAGAAAAGAGGGGAGTTGGCTGGGCACGGTGGCTTACACCTGTAATCCCAGCACTTTGGGAGGCCCAGGCGGGTGGATCAGGAGGCCAGGAGATCGAGACCATCCTGGCTAACACAGTGAACCCCGTCTCCACTAAAAAATAGAAAAAATTAGCCAAGCGTGGTGGCAGGTGTCTGTAGTCCCAGGTACTCGGGAGGCTGAGGCAGGAGAATGGCATGAACCTGGGAGGCGGAGCTTGCCGTGAGCTGATGTCATGCCACTGCACTCAATCCTGGGCAAGACAGCGAGACTCCATCTCAAAAAAAAAGGAAAAGAAAAGAGTGGAGTGAAGGGGGAAGGTCTGCGGGGGAGGGTCGAGCCCATGGGAGGGTGGAAATAGACGGGGCCTCCCACCCCTGGCTCCCACCCTTGTAGTCTCAGTAGGGTAAAGAGCAGGGAAGGCTGGGAGGAGATGGGGGTGAACCTCAGAGGAGATGAGAGTAGACTGAGGGTGAAAGACAGAGGCCCCACCTGCTCCCCTCCTGATGTCTCCACCTCAGAATCAGAGCCTCTGGGGATCCCAACCTCTAAGTCCTGACCCCATGGGTGACAAAAACCCAGTCACTCCCAGCTCTAAAGAAGTTTCTAGACTCATCTCAATGCTACCTCTAATATTCAGGGTCTGATTTCCAGGGCAGCAGAGGGGAGGGTGGACAGTAAGGGTGTGGTCTGCATGGCTTCCTGGTGCTCCAGGGATGGGGCAGGTGTTCCCTCCGTGGTGTTCAGAGGGGAGAGAGGTGTCTGAGGTTCAGCATTGATGAGTGGAGCAGCGGGGTCTTTCCCCCTCCCCGAGCAGGATTCCAGGAGACATCACCTCTGGTTGAGACTCTCCACTGTCTCATGTACATAACAAAATCTCTCCAATTTTCTACTGAAAGCAACACGTGGCACAGCTCTGCAGGACCCCACACCCCGACCTTGTCCTGCAGGATGTGTGACGAGTAGAAGAGGGAGAACAGGTCGGGTCAGCAGGATTTGGGGTCCAGCCTGACTTGGACACGTGGAAGATGCTGGGGCTGATGGAGGAGGAACAGAGGCGGGCGAGTTGGAAAGAGGACAGACAGACGGTCCCTTGGCAGCTCTCATTTCTCATTTCCAAGGGCCCCTGAGGATGAACCCCTCACCCACACCTGTAGGGTCCCTGGGCCATCTCAAGACAAGAGAGGAGGCCTTGGTGGGATCTGACTGTGATGAGGGTGAAGTCCACCCCGAGCAGAAATGAGTGATACACAACACGTGCTGTGAATAATTCCCTAACTTGCCAGGGAGCAAGTGCACGGCCCCTCCTTAGTCTCAGGGGTGCCCTGAGCCCAAGCCCACCAGGTGAGCACAGGAGGGGCCGTGTGAGCGGCACCCACAGCTGGAGTGCTTCTCTCTAAAGGAGCACGTTTTGGGTGGACTCAACCCTCACCACAGTCAGATCCCACCAAGGCTCTGTACTCAGGGCACCCGGAGACTAAGGAGGGACCGTGCACCTGCTCCCTGGATGAGTTAGGGAATGATTCACAGCACGTCTCATATGTCATTCATTTCTACACTGTATTTTCTGTACGTATGCTTTCTATATGTATGCTCTCTCCTTTACTAAAACTTTTAAAGCAATACTTCAATATATAAATTTATATTTTTTATTTCAATTATATGAACCTATTATTTAAAAACATTTAATTTTACTTTGCCTTTCATTGGGGCTTGATTTAATTTATATATTCAATGTAGACATCCATTTTTCATTAACCTCAAGTCTTCCTCCTGTACATATTAAAAATCGAGGTTTCCTTAACGAACTTCAGAAATGTTTGGATGTTTCAAAGCACAATGGCCCGAGCGAAACTGACTGGGCGGCTCCCTGTGGCATGAGAAACCCGGGGGAGGTCAGCGGGAGCTACAGTGCAGCTCAGCCCTGGGCCTGGGGGGTTCATGCCCAACCTTGTCCAATCACTGGATAATTCTAACATCTAAATAAACGTCTTTTATATGAAAAAAGTGCTTTAAATTGTTAATTTAGATTTAAATTAGAACAGGGCAATTTGGTAGTGGGTTAATATGAAATACAATGAATATACCCAAACCAGTGGCTTTCTCATGAGTACTTATCTCTCGTTTTAAAAAATGTAAAGGAATCAAATACTTCACTTATAAATTGTTAAAGGTGTTGAATAATTCTTTAAATTAGAACGAATATAATTAAAAAAAATTTTTTTTGAGATGGAGTTTTGCTCTTGTTGCCCAGTCTGGAGTGCAGTGGTGAAATCTTGGCTCACTGCAACCTCCGTCTTCCAGTTTCAAGCAATTCTCCTGCCTCAGCCTCCCGAGTAGCTGGGATTACAGGCGCCCGCCACCATGCCCCGCTAATTTTTGTATTTTTAGTAGAGACAGGGTTTCACCATGTTGGCTAGGCTGGTCTTGAACTCCTGACCTCATGATCTGCCCACGTCAGCCTCCCAAAATGCTGGGATTACAGGCATGAGCCACTGTGCCTGGCCTGAATATAATTTTTTAAATGTCTACCCAGGACACCCACCTCTCCTTGACAGGGAGGTTATATAAGTTATACATAATCTTATATAGAATTTGTTATATAAGTTACCTCTGAATATGTCTCTTCTCCTCTGTTTTGATTCTCAGGAGCAGCTGAGACCCTCAGCCCACCACAAAACAAGTCCGATTCCAAGGCTGGTGAGTGAGGAGATGCTTGCCGTGATGACGCTGGGCACAGAGGGTCAGGTCCTGTCAAGGGGAGCTGGGTGTCCTGGGTGGACATTTTAAAAAATTACATTCATTCTAATTTAAAGAATTCTTCAACACCTTTAATGATTTATAAGTGAAGTATTTCATTCCTTTACATTTTTAAAATAAGAGATAACTATCCATGAGAAAGCTACTGCTTTGAGTATATTCATTGTATTTCATGCTAACTCACTACTAAATTGCTCTGTTCTAACTGCTTTTCAATGGATCTCCTCTAATTTACTAATACAATTTGTATAAACCGTAAGACAATGGGAAATTTTACTTCTTTATTTCTAAATTATGTGCCAATATTTCTCACTTTAAATGTCAATATATATGTTACTACATCTTAAATAAATATCTGAAGTTTTACATATATACATATTTATGTGTGGTTAAGTAAGATACTTTTGAATATGTGTGTAAGTATATCCAAATTCATTTGATGTATATTCATGCATATGCTTAATATATTTGATGCGGTAGGTGTTTACATGTTTGTTCCTGGTCTAGATTCACCTAGATTCACACTTCATAAAAACAAATACTGATTTATGAACCTTGAGTGACATCTCCATTTAGCATATATATATATATGTTTGTATGTGTGTGTGAATGTGGGAAACTGTATTGCATTCTAGGTGTTACTGCCTATATGAGGAATTAGTTAACTAGAGATTAAATGGAAGATGAAACCCCAGGTGAACTGGCTGAGGCTGTGTGAAGAAGAAGCACCCCCAGACTTTCACCCCTTTGTGCTTCTGACACTGGGGAGCCCCTGCAGACCAACCTCCCATGCATGGAGCCTGGGTCCTCCGCTGGTGGATAAGTGAAACTCTCATCTCTGGGGGAATTGGCTCATGTGCTCCTGTGTCCCTGGCTGCACAGACAGCGCACAGGGCTCAGTGACTTCTGTATTCCTTTGCAGATCCTGAGCTCCCAGAGTGCAGGAAAACGCCCTCCCCAAATGCCTCAGGAGTAACATTCGAATTTCTAGAATGCAAGAAATCTGAAATAATTCAATAAGGACACTGGAGGGAACCCTGCTACACAGGAAGGGTTTATTGAGGAACTCCCTAGAACTCATGTCAGAAGACATAGGGGAAGATAAGAATGCAGAGCCCAGGGGAGAGGCTGGCTCAGGGCTCTTCCCCTCTGTTTTTATTCTCAGGAGCAGCTAACACCCTCAGCCCATCACAAAACAAGACTGGTGAGTGAGGAGATGCTCTCGTTTACGGTGCTGGGCACAAGGGTTGGGTCCTGTCAAGGGTAAGGAGGTGCTCTGGGTGGACATCCAGAGGTCCTGGGTGAAGTTGATCTGCCCTGACCTCTGTGACCTCTTTGCCCACCATCCCCAGCCTCACACCCCCAGGATTACACAGTGGAGAATCTCATCCGCATGGGCATAGCTGGCTTGGTCCTGGTGGTCCTCGGGATTCTGCTATTTGAGGCTCAGCACAGCCAGAGAAGCCTCTGAGATGCAGCCGGGAGGTGAACAGCAGAGAGAAGAATGTACCCTTCAGAGTGGTGGAGCCTTGGGAACAGATCTGATGATGCCAGGAGGTTCCGGGAGACAATTTAGGGCTGATGCTATCTGGACTGTCTGCCAATCATTTTTAGAGGGAGGAATCAGTGTTGGATTGCAGAGACATTTTCTGGAGTGATCCATGAAGGACCATTAACCTGTGATACCTTTCCTCTCTATTAATGTTGACTTCCCTTGGTTGGATCCTCTTCTTTCCCCACCCCCAGACAGACATGAGGCTACATCCCACATGGCAGCGTTGGGTCCACACCTCTGCACATCTGTGTGCTCTGGTCCATGGTGTGTAACACAGTCTTCTTTATTACTCATTGCCATACTCCCTGGTGTGCTTTACTGAGCCTCCATCTCTTCAATTCAGAGTTCCAAACGTGCTTCAGTAACTAAATCAATGGGAGAGTATCGGATTTCAACCAGGAAAAGATAAATCCACCCTGATGCCCTGACACCCTCTCTGAACCCTACGAGCCCTTCCCTCCTTCTCACATGCTACCTGTGCAGCTTCTCCTTAGATCATTGTGTAACCATCACTGCCATCCTGTTCCACACATGGTCATCACCCTACACCCATTCAGCAGCCACTCCCCATTCCCTCTTCCCTCCAGCACCTGCTAACCACAAATGTGCTTTCTGTCTCTACGGATTTGCCTATTCTGTCTGAAAACATTTCAATCTCCTTTGACCTGTGAGCTCCTCACTTCGAGACTTCCTGCCTTTCCAGGCAGAACCAAAGTACACCACGTCAAAAGCAATGATAGGCATTTGCAGTGTGTTGGTGATCCACGAAAGGAAAATCACGGAAGCAGGATAGAAATCCAGCTGCAGACAAGACCTCAGGTCGATGAATCTTGACAAGCAGTTGAGCTGTTTTTTTCTACTCACCTAGGACAGTCAGGCAGAAGTATGCAAAATGACTGGGGCTGATTCTTTTCTGAATTGTCGCAAACAGCAAGAGGACTTGAGTCCTAGCATTAAAGAGTTCAACATGTCTAGGTCCAAGACCACTGTTGTGTTTGAAGGATGTAAAACCCTGCTGCATAGGATGGAATATTTGGAGGGAGGATCCTGAAAAACATGAGGGATCAAATAGTCCTCAACTTTCTAGGACAAAGGGAGCAGCTATTTGCCATCTACCCTCCAGAATAAAGAAATCTTATCATTCACCATCTACCCTCTAGAATAAAGAAATCTTATCATTCGCCATCTACCCTGTAGAATAAAGAAATCTTATCATTCACCGTCTACCCTCTAGAGTAAACAAATCTTATCATTCACCATCTACCCTCTAGAATAAAGAAATCTTATCATTCGCCATCTACCCTCTAGAATAAAGAAATCTTATCATTCACCGTCTACCCTCTAGAGTAAACAAATCTTATCATTCGCCATCTACCCTCTAGAATAGAGAAATCTTATCATTCATCATCTACCCTCCAGAATAAAGAAATGTTATCATTTGCCATCTACCCTCTAGAATAAAGAAATCTTATTAAGGACATTTTCAAAGCCTTAACAGAATATGAATGATTACAATATTATGTTTTACCTATACAGCATCTTCCAAGTTCTAGTTTGGTTGTGCCAGGCCAAACATTTGAGCCAGATTTCGGCAAGATCAAGCAGGAGACTCTGGCGTCTGTCGCTGATTACCTTCCCGCCATACCTGGCCACCAGCCTTTCCCATGGACCCCACGTGTGTCTCCAGACTCTTGGGTATGAATCCTGTGAACACACTGACCTCTGCTTTCTACATGACTGACAAGCACTATGAAATTTGCATAAATATGAATAGAAAATATACTGTCCCCACATCCCCTAAAATAAAACTGAGTCCTCACCCATGGGCTTTTGCTGGATTATACTAAGAAAAGGCAGGTCTTACAACACACATTCCATAGACTCACATCTCAGAGAAGATTCCTTCCACAGGCTCAGGGTCCTGAACACACTGCTCCACTCTCAGGGCTCGGAGACACTCTGCAGGTGGGTCTTCACCCCATCCGGGAGCCCTAATTCCTTCTTCCTCGGTTTTTCATACAGTGATTTTTCCCAGTACTGCTGTCTACTTTCCTCTGCCAGAAATTCCTTGCTGGATCCATGGCAATCTCCTCAGGACTCCTATTTCATAAAATGGAAATGGAATTCTTCATATGCCTTAAAAAGTAAAATAATTATCCAAACAATATAAAATACAAACACCCATCTAGCAAAATATTTCTTAGTACATCATGAATTCAAATATATATCGTACAAAATGACTGAGGATTTTATTAATTTTGAGCAATATTGAGGTTTTCTCATAATATCTTTTTATTGTTAACTTCAAACTAAATAACAATCATGTCTGGGAATAAAATGTATAAGATAGTCATTTAGAAAAATTTGGAGATTTTTCCTTCCTTGTCCAGTAAATACTTAACATTTTACGTGCAATGTATGTCATAAATATGGGCATTCCCCCCTTTGAGGTATGTGTTCATTAATATACACACATATATATACTCACACACACATATATACTGTACAGTGGCATCTACACATACTATATATCCACATATAATGTATTTGTATGCAATATGTAAATATATACACACATAACACCTAGAGTAAGTGTATGTATACAATATATCAGAATATATATGTGAATTCTTTTTCCATACAAACTGTGTAACATTTCTTTACACATCTACACACATATATACCGTGTGTGTATACATATAGTGCTTATGTACATAATAGGTAAATATATACACAAATTAACATATATATGTATACATACATAGAATTTGTTTTTCTATATACAAACCCTATAACATATGTAACTAGAGAGTTTTACCATATGTATGTAATTCAGATTGAACATTAAGTTGTATACTCATTCATTTTTTTTCTTAACCTCTCAGTTCTTGATAAATATTTCTTTGAATCACCAAATATATACAAATTTATGTTGTATATATTTCAATAACCCATGGTTAGATGAATGAAAGTTTACAATTATTTTATCATTTTTTATACCGTCTCTCTCTCTTTTTTTTTTTTTTAACACAGATGAGTCTCACTATGTTGCCCAGGCTGGTCTTGAACTCCTGGGCTCAAGTGATCTTCCCACCTCAGTCTCCCAAAGTGCTGGGTTACAGGTGTGAGCCACCGTACCCAGCACTTAATACCTTCATTAAAACATAAAACTTCACTATTTTCAAAAAAGTTTTGTATTATGTTACATTTTGTGGACTATTAATGTTTCTAATAGATAATTTTAACAGCATGTCTTTCTTCCCTTACTGATTTTAAATTATGATTTTATATTAGATGATACTATTGTGTCTCATGCCTAATGTGTTATTGGGGGTGTTGGGCTATTTAACTCATCCTGAGTAGGGGAATCACTCTTTAACATACGGGGTAAAAAATGAATAATTTAGAATAATTTCATGAATTTAGTTAAGTATTCGATTATATATTTTTGAATGAAGATTCATTTATCCTTGTCCTTTAGAAAAGACATGTACTCTTATATGTGTGTGTAGTTACATTCGTGTGTGTGCGTGCATGCAATTTTCAAATACTTGCCTGTTTCCCACTTTTCATCACCGGCATCTCACATCCTACATTTTGGATTCATTGATCTATCTGGATAACATCATTTAAAATTGCTTTCACTGAGTATGAAAACAGTAATATCTAGTAACTTGCAGCTCAGATAATGCTTTATTTTTCCTCCCACTTTCTCTATCAAAATAGATGAAAACATTTCTATATTAATTAAAGGGTAAGATATAACACCTGGAAGAGAAAGCACATCTGATGATTGAGGGATCCACCCTCCAATCCCTCCTCAGCCCTCATGCAGGGGAAGCCCAACCTAATGGGCTTCACAGGTCTGTCTTGCTCTGAGCCTTTTTCTGCTTAGGAATTGGTCCCCTGCTGACCCCTTTAACTTTTAGGTATTAACCTGAGTAAGCATAGAGTTCCTCACTTGCTGTTAATCCCTTGAGAGTACATTTTCAACATTTCCTTGCCTTTCATTTTTCTGTTGGGAAGTCCGATCCCAGTGATCATGCTATTCTACTGACATGTTGAGTTGAAAATCACAGGACACAAAAATGTGTTTTAAACTATACAATTTATGCTAGACAATTTCAGTCTAGCATATATACTTTTTAATCTACTTCTGGTATTTTTCAATTTATCATGGTAGGTCAAGGTTTACATTGCATGTTTAAATGTATGCATCTTAGCACTTAATTAGTCTTTCCTCGTCTCTGTCAAATGTTCAACTCTTTAATTCGTGAGCTGTTGCCAGACATTATTCTCCCTTCTTTCCTTCTGACACGTACAATAGATATGAGGTTCTCCCTCCTCACAATATTCCCCCAAATATGGTGAATTTTCACTTTTGGTGTCTCCATAGTGCATTCTGGAAAATTCTCCCAATTTTGTTTTCCAATTTAATAAATGTCTCTTTAGCTGTATCTTGACCTTGATAGAATAAATATTTTGAGTGTGCTTCTTCAACTGAATTTTTGCCTCTAGGATTTCTAACTCATTTCTCTGATGCTCATTTTTTGCCAGTATAATCCATATTCTTGTCTCAGAAATTTAATTTCCTCTTGTATTTTTTTCAGATATTTAAACATGTTTAATTGAAAAAGGGTCTTATGCGTTCCTAGTATTCTATTTCTTTGCACATAATAATCCTTATCAACAAATGTGTAGACTGATGATCATAGCACTTTTTATCATTAGAAGGATGGCTCTTGGTTGTCTATTTTTGTTGGACACTCACCTCCTACACTCCTGAGCTACCATGGAGGGATCCTCTCAAGGCAGTTTTTAGTAATCCAGGACTGAAAATGGGGGACTGTTCCAGCTACTGATGACACGTGGCATTCATTTCCCAAACATAGTGTCTGCTCAGGTTGCTCCCAGAAGGAAAAAAATGCATGTGAAATTCACACTCATGGCCGGGCACGGTGGCTTATGCTTGTAATCTCAGCACTTTGGGAGGTCGAAGTGGGCAGACCACTTGAGGCCAGGAGTTCAAGACCAGCCTGGCCAACATGACAAAACCCCGTCTCTACTAAAAATGCAAAAAAATTAGCCAGGCCTGGTAGTGGGCACCTGTAATCACAGCTACTCAGAAGGCTGAAGCAGGAGAATCACTTGGTCATGAGAATCAGGCAGGAGAATCACTTGGGAGGTGGAGGTTACAGTGAGTGGAGATCATGCCACTGCACTCTAGCCTGGGCAACAAGAGCAAAACTCCATCTCAAAAAAAAAAAAAAAACTCATACCCACACATGATACAGATACCCACATGTAAGAACTCTGCAGTGAATGAATTTGTTTCACACACACCCAGGGGAGTTGGCTCAGTGGTGGCCATGGGCCTGGGTCGGTAAATAGACATATTCCATCACAGCTTTCAGCCTTGCCCAGAGCCCTGGCCCTTCTCTGCCTGTGAGGACCCAGGGCCCCTTTTCTGTTCTGCACAGAAATGGAAACTTCCTCCCTAATGACCCCTAATGGCACCAGACACAGATGCCCTCTCTGTTTCGTGTGTATCCTTCTCCTTCTGATGAACTTTCATTTCTCATTTTCTGGACATGACTGTGATAACCGGGGTGTTGATGAAATATTATGAGAAGCATCTCTCAAGGGCAGGAACAAAGGGGCTCTCCTTAGTGGAAACATCAATCTCAGGCCTTGATGGTGGGCGCCAGCATCCCCTCATGCCCCCACCCCTCCTGTCTTCACCTGCTCTGGAAATTACCCATGGCTGAGCCCCCTGCAGCCCCCAGGCTCCAATGACCCAGCTCCCCTGTGATAAATGGGGTTCATGACAGGCTCCAAATGAGGAAACCAAGGCTCAGAGATGGGAGGTTACTGCCCAAGTTCACACAGGCAGGGGGTGACACAAGAATATTTAAATAAAGACAAGATTTCCCCTCAAAGCAGAGTGCTAACCCCACGTATTGTCCCAGAACCTTGAACTCAGGAGCACAGGATGGGAACAGGAGTGTTTGAAAGAAGACGGGGGCACCAAGAAGGCAGAGTCAGGTCAATGTTGTTTCCAGGGAGACGGGGGCGGATGCTGTTGCGATGAGTCAATGAGAAGTTCGTGAAGGGAACGTTTTTGCATAAAGAAAACCCACACTCCAGTTCTGGGAAAAGAGACATGATTCCTTCCCTTGTCTCCCTGTATTTCCCCTTTCTGTTCATTGCCGCAATAAAGCTCAACTGGAACTGCAGAGCAAGATGTGAGATGAGTCTCTGCTGATGTGAGTCTGCCCCGCAGCCTGAATTTGCATCTTCCCTGAAGCTTCCCCAGGACTGGTGAGAAGACTGGCCATGGTAGTTTCCCCACAAGAGTGTGTTTATGGGTGAGCTGAAGGAGAGAGTGAAACCCCATGAGGAGGCTCTGAGAGGAAGGAAGAACCCTCCGTTGCCTTCACCTGGAAGGGACCAACTCAGGAAGGCACCACGTCCATTTGCAGCCACGTCCTGGCCCTTAATGAGAAGAGGACAGGACAGGCAGACAGTGAAAGGAGATGAGGAGAGACCCCATGTGTGTCTGAAATATCAACAGAAAGCCTGGTACCTGTCTCAGGCCAAGCACTAGGAAAACAAGAGCCAGGCTCGTGGCGGGGTCCGGGACAGTACACTACCCATGGAGATGCTGGTGGGAAAATCCTGTAAGGGAGAGAACCCTTCCTTTGTGTGTGTGTTCTGTGGACACCATGGTCTTATCCACCCACACAGCCGGGGCCAGTAGGAGGAAACATCATGACTCTCACCCACACGGCCATGGTCCACTTCACTGAGATTTGACAAGGGGAATGGGAGATTCTAGCATGAGAGGGACCCTGCCCCACAGTTAGGCCCTGGTCCAGTAGGAGACCCCAGGGGATTAGGGAAGATCTCAGGAAGGAGAGGACCTGCCCAGGCTTCAGGGGCAAATCTCTCAGCGGGAACTCTCTTCCAGGGCTGAGTCTGGGCCTCAGGACCTGCGTACAGGCAGGTGAGTCTGTCCCCAGCTGTCCCAGGTCCCTCCTCCTCACCGGGGACAGGGTCCCACCCCCGGGCAGCTGGGGCTGGAGAACAGCAACTCTGGGCTGACTGAGAGGGATCATGGGGGGATCTTGGGCTGAAAGCTGGGATCTGAGGGGTGGTAAATGATATAGGACCCAGTTTCTGATTTCCTTCCAGGGACCCTCCCCAAACCCACGTTCAGGGCTGAACCAGACTCTGTAATAACCTAGGGGAGGCCCGTGGCCCTCTGGTGTCAGGAGACCCTAGAAGCTCAGGAGTGTGGTCTGGATAAAGAGGAAAGCCCAGTGTTCAGGAGCACACAGAGCTCGCCGAAGCCCAGGACAGCGTGAGTCCTCCGTCTCACTCAGGACAAAGCACCATGCAGGGGAATATTGCTGTGAGTATTTCAGTCCTGCTGGCAGGTGAGCACTCAGAGACCCCCTGCAGCTGGTGGTAACAGTGAGGGGACACTCAGGGGCCCCAGCCCCAGGCTCTGCCCTCAGGAAGGAGGTTTGCTCTTCGGGGCATCTTGCCTCTCAGAGCCCAGGCCTGGGGGATGATGTGGGAGGTGTGAGCCCCATTTAACACGGTGCCTCCTTCTCTCCTAGAATTCCACTAATAAAGGTCCTATTTGACAGTTCCAATATTGGAAATAAGAGTTCCATCTTCGGCCAGGCACAGTGGCTCACACCTGTAGTCCCAGTACTTTGGGAGGCCGAGGCAGGCAGATCACTTGAGGTCAGAAGTTCAAAAGCAGCCTGGCCAACATGACAATAACCCGTCTCTACTGAAAATACAAAAATTAACCTGGCGTGTGGTGTGCGCCTGTAATTCCAGCTACTGGGGAGGGTTCGCTTGAACCCACTTAGCACCTGGAAAGCGAGAGCACGGACTAGGCTGACCCAGCCCGCACCTGCCTCTGCCCATACCCCCACCCTGGTAGGTTAACACAAAGGACAAAGACTTTCGGGAGCTCAATGGCCTCGCCCTTTGCCTGAGACACCGGACAGCCTCCCTTGCGTAACATAAGGAAGGCAAAAAGCCCATGAAGACCAACACAGCAAAATTCATAATTGCAAAGATGTGGAGCGCTTTTGCAACCGCTGCCTCCGGGCTGGAGGCCGACTGACACCGTGCAGGACAGCATCCGCAGGCTCAATAACACAGCACCCAGGAAGGAGAACACGTGTGCATGTCCTCAGCTATCACCATTGCCAGCAACCCCCTGGATAACCAAGAGGTCCTGAGTCTGTTCACATGGCCGGTTCATTACCAAAGCTGGTGTTTGAGAAAGCCAAAACCCCAAGGCTATTTATAACCGAGGAAATCTCACATAGTGTATCTCACTCCTGCAAACTTCACCAGCCCGCCCCACTCCCTCGCCCCACCTCAGTGTCCCCGAGCCACTTTGCTTGCACTCGCTCGCCCACAGCCACTGCCGCCAGGGCTTTGCCAGCATTATGTGCTCCTGAGCAGACCTTCTCTCCCCTCCCCAACGGCATGTGTGTTGCACGTGCACCTCGCAGTGCCACAGCTGCCGGTGTGAGTTCACCCACTCACCCAACGACCCCCGAGCACTGGGACTGCTGTCAGAGCATTCGTGGGTACAGAGATTCCCTGTCCAGTACCCACCTGCCCTCCACCCTCCCGGCGCCAACACTACCACCGGTGTGATCACACACAGGGAGACCAGCGGATCCACCCCCACCGCAAACAGCAGCAGCTGCCAGCGTGGAAGTGCACACAGAGGGTGCACACAGTCCCATGAGGCCGGAGCCCCGCCACCTTGCTAACACCACTACCGGTGCAAATGCGCACACGAACGCCTGCGGGGCTCCCGCACACCCCACCCAGTCTTGCTGACGCCACCGCATTGAACACCGACATGGAGGCCAGCACCCCTGCACCCACTAGCATCCCACTGCAGTCAACAAATGTGTACATCCCAGAGGAAAAGACATCATTACATCAGAAACACACTTGCATACAAATGTTGATTGCAGCAAAATTCATAATTGCAAAGATGTGGAATCGACGTAAGTGTCCATCAGCTGATGAGTGAATGTGGCACATATACACAAGAAAACACTATTCAGCCATTGAACAAAATGAAATAATGTCTTTTGCAGCAACTTGGATGAAGCTGGGGGCCATGACACTAAGTGAACTAACTCAGCAATGGAAAGCCAAATACCATATGCTCTCACTTTATAAGTGGGAGCCAAGTTATGGGTAATCAAAGACATGTAAAGGGGTGTAATGAACACTGGAGACCCAGAAGGGAGAGAGGGGGTGGAGAGTGAGTAATGAAATACTATGTACCAAGTACAATGTACACTACTTGGGTGATGGGTGTAGTAAAATCTCAGGCTTCACCACTATACAATTCATTCATACAACTAGAAACCACTTGTACCCCAAATCTATTGAAATAAAATACATTTTTAAAAAAACTATAATACAAGGCTACAGTAACCAAAACATTATGGCACTGGTACAAAAACAGACACATAGACCAATGAAACAGAATAAAGCCACACACCTACAACCATCTGATATTTAACAAGGCCAACAAAAACAGGCCTATTCAAAAAATAATCCTGTGATAACTGGCTAGCCATATGCAAAAGAATGAAACTGGACAGACCCTACATATCACCATATACAAAAATTAAATCAAGACAGATTAAATACTTTAATGTAAGATTTAAACCTATAAGAATCCTAGAAGAAAACATGGTGAAACCCTGTCTCTAATAAAAATACAAAAAAGAAAAAAAAGTAGCCTGGCATGGTGACAGGTGCCTGTAATCCCAGCTACTTGGGAAGCTGAGGCAGGAGAATCGCTTGAACCTGGTGGGGAAAGGTTGCAGTGAGCCGAGATCACACCACTGCACTCCAGCCTCGGCAGCAGAGCCAGGCTCCATCTCAAAGAAAAAAAAATAGGAAACATCTTCCTTAATACAGGCATTGGCAAAGTATTTACAGCTAAGTCCTCAAAAGCAATTAAACGAAAGCAAAAATTGATGAGTGGGACCTAATAAACCTACAGATCCAGCAAAGGTCTAATATTCAGAATCTGTAAGCAACTTACACAAATCAACAAGCACAAAACAAACAGCCCCATTAAAAAGTGGGCAAAAGACGTGAACAGACACTTTTCTAAAGAAGACACACATATGTCCAAGAAGCATATCAAAAAATCTTCAATATGACTAATCAGTAGGGATATGCAAATTAAAACTACAATGAGATACCCACACCACTCAGAATAGTTATTATTAAAAAGTCAAAAAATAACAGATGCTGGTAAGGCTGCAAAGAAAATGGAACAAGTGTTGGTGAGAACGTAAATTAGTTCATCCACTGTGGACAGCAGTTGGGAGATTTCTCAAAGAACTAAGAGTTGAACTACAATTCGGCCTAGCAAACCCATTGGTAGGTATATGCCCAAAGGAAAATAAATTATTCTACCAAAAAGGCAGATGCACCTATATGTTCATTGCAGCACCATTCCCAATAACAAAGATGTGGAATAAACCCAGGTGTTCATCCAACAATGGATTGGATATATGGACCATAGAATACTACACAGCAATCAAAATGGAAATCATGTCCTTTGCAGCAGCATGGATGGAGCTAGAGGTCATTAGCCTAAGTGATGCCATGTGGAAACAGAAAGCCAAACATAGCACATTCTCGTAAGCAGGAGCTAAACACTGGGCACATGTGGACATAGATAAGTGTCTGTTCATGTCCTTTGCACACTTTCTAATGGGGCTGTTTGTTTGTTGCTTGCTGATTTGTGTAAGTTGCTTCTAGATTCTGAATATTAGGCCTTCACTGGATCTGTAGGTTAATGAGGTCCCACTCATCAGTTGTTATTTTTGTTTAATTGCGTTCAAGGACTTAGCTGTAAACACTTTGTCAATGCCTATAACAACAGGATGTTTCCTGTGATTTTTTTTTTCTTTGAGACAGAGTCTGGCCCTGGCACCGGAGACACTTAGAGTGGGGAGAGAGGGAGGAGGGCAAGGGCTGAAAAAGTGCCTGTTGGGCGCTATGCTCACTACCTGGGTCAACGGATTCATTCGTTCTCCAAACCTCAGCATCACGCAATATACCTTTCTAGCAAACTTGCGTTATGTGCCCCCGCATTCTAAAATAAAAGTTGAAAACAATAATAATAATATGGAACTAAAAATTAATAGGCATGCATCTTAGCAATATAAACTCAAGTACAAAATGGAAGAGGCCCACGTTTTAGAGATTTTGAAATTTAAAACACCTATAAATGTGATTGTATATATAGGCATGTAGGGACAACTGGGCTTCATCTGTAAGAACTACAGGTGGAAAGTGGAGACTCCTTACTGGCCTGAGAGCAAGGAGACAGCCCTGAGTCTTGGTGTCTGAGGAGAAGAAGTATGTGTTTCTGTTCGATTCTTGGTCAGAAAAAGGTGTTATAAAGAAGAATCTTGGTTCCCTGTCTCTTTTCTCATGCCAGATACTTATAATAGTAACTATACATGTGTATATATATGTGTATATATATATTTGTCTTTATAAAAGCTCACATCTCCCAAGTATCACACAAAACCCTTTTTGTCTTTTTTTCTACACCCCATGGAGAAGTACAAACAGGATGTGATACTCTAATATCACTCAGTTTTCTAAAATAAGTAGGTTGCAATTTCCTATGAAGTGAAACTATTCCTAGTTCACATTGAGAAAGTACCAGATTCAGTTTCTCATAGGACCAACAATTGTCTGGACCAAGGGAAATTACAAATGGTCTGGTCTTACATTTTTCTCCAGCTACCTGTGATGATCTCTAAGAGTCTGTTGTTGCAGATAAAAAAGTATATCACTCAAGGCAGGGTGCAGTGGCTCACGCCTGTAATCCCAGCACTTTGGGAGGCAGAGGCCGGCAGATTATCTGAAGTCTGGAGTTTGAGTCCAGCCTGGCCAACATGATGAAACCCCGTTTCTACTAAAAATACAAAAATTAGCTGGGCATGGTGGCAAGCACCTGTAATCCCAGCTACTCGGGAGGCTGAGGCAGGAGAATCGCTTGAACCTGGGAGGTAGGAGGTCACAGTGAGCTGAGACTGCCCTACTGCACTCCCAGCCTGGGCGACAGTGTTAGACTCTGTCTCAAAAAAAAAAAAATGTGTATCACTCAAACTGACACCTTCATGGATCTTAGAACCCTGATCATGTTCCCATGAGAATTCCATTCATTCCATTCAAGAAGATCTAACTTTCACATATACACCATGGAATACTATGCAGCCATAAAAAATGATGAGTTCATGTCCTTTGTAGGGACATGGATGAAATTGGAAATCATCATTCTCAGTAAACTATCGCAAGAACAAAAAACCAAACACCGCATATTCTCACTCATAGGTGGGAATTGAACAATGAGAGCACATGGACACAGGAAGGGGAATATCACACTCTGGGGACTGTTGTGGGGTGGGGGGAGGGGGGAGGGATAGCATTGGGAGATATACCTAATGCTAGATGACGAGTTAGTGGGTGCAGCGCACCAGCATGGCACATGTATACATATGTAACTAACCTGCCCAATGTGCGCATGTACCCTAAAACTTAAAGTATAATTAAAAATAAATAAATAAATAAATAAATAAATAAAAAAGAAGATCTAACTTTCCTAAATATCTATGCATCCAACACAGCAGCACCCAGATTCATAAAAGAAATTTGTAAAGACCTTCAAAGAGACTTAGACTCCCACACAATAATAGTGGGAGACTTTAATACCCCACTTACAATAGTAGACAGATCATCAAGACAGAAAATTGACTAAGATAATCAGGACCTGAACTCAGCACGATAGATATCTACAGAACTCTCCACACCCCCAAACCAGAATTTACATTCATCTCATCACCACATGGCACATGCTCTAAATTCAATCACATAATTGGAAGCAAAAGACTCCTCAGCAAATTCAGTTTGTTACAACTGAAATTGGCACAAACCACTCTCTGACCACAGCATAATCAAATTAGAAATCGAGACTAAGAAACTCACTTAAACTCATACAATTACATGGAAATTAAACAACCTGCTCCTGAATGACATCAGGGTAAATAATGAAATTAAGGCAGAAATTAAGAAGTTATTACAAGCTAATGGGAGCAAAGATACAACATGCCGGAATCTCCGGGACACAGCTAAGGGGGTATTAAGAGGAAAATATATAGCACTAAATGTCCACATCACATTAGTTGTGATGACCTAACATCACAACTAAAAGAACTAGAGAACGAAGAGCAAACAAACCCCGAAGCTAGCAGAATACAAGAAAGAACCAAAATCTGAGCTGAACTGAAGGAGATTGGGTTCCTTCACACACAAAAAAATCATTCAAAAGATCAGCAAATCCAGGAGCTGGTTTTTTGAAAAAAATAATAAAATAGACTGCTAGCTAGACTAATTGAAAAAAGAGAAGACTCGAATAAACACAATCACGAATGACACGGGGAATATTACCATTGACCCCAGAGAAATACAAACAACCATCAGAGAATATAATGAACCCGTGTATGCACATAAACTAGAAAATCTAAAAGAAATGGGTAAATTCTCAGACACGTGCAGCCTCCCAAGACTGAACCAGGATGAAATTGAATTCCTCAACAGACCAATAATGAGCCTGAAATTGGTTCAACGTACACAAATCAATAAACAGATTCATCACATAAACAGAACTAAAACAAAAAACCACATGATTATATTAATGATGCAGAAAAGCCTTCTGATAAAATTTAACATCACTTCTTGTTAAAAACTCTAATTAAACTAGGTATTGAAGGAACATACTTCAAAATAATAAGAGCCATTTATGACAAGCCCACAGCCAACATCATGCTGAATGGGCAAAAGCTGAAAGCAATCCACTTGAAAACTGGCACAAGAATGCCCTCTCTCACCACTCCTATTCAACAGTATTGGAAATACTAGGCAGGGCAATTGGGCAAGAGAAAAAAATAAGGCGTATTCAAATAGGAAGAGAGGAAGTCAAACTATCTTTGCTGCAGATGAAATGATCCTGTATCTAGAAAACATCAACCCAAACATCAACCTGAGATCTTCTTAAGCTGATAAACAACATCAGCAAAGACTCAAGATACAAAATAAATGTGCAAAAATCACTAGCATTTATATACCAATAACAGTCAAGTTGAGAGCCAAATCAGGAATGCAATCTCATTTACAGTTTACACACACACACACAAACACACACACACAATACCTAGGAATACAGCTAACTAGGAGGGTGGACAATTTCTTCAAGGAGAACTATAAAACACTGCTCAAAAAATTAGAGATGACACAAATAGATGGAAAAATATTCCATGATCATGAATAGGAAGAATCAATATCTTAAAAATGGCCATAGTGCTCAAAGCCATTTATAGATCCAGTAATATTTGTATTAAGTTATCATTGAGATTCTTCACAGAACTAGAAGAATCATATGGAACCAAAAGTTTTAAATTTAAAAATTCATATGGAACCCAAAAAGAGCTCAAATAGTCAAGGCAAGCCTAAGCAAAAACAAAAACCGAAAACCAAAGCTGGAGGCATTATGTTACCTGACTTCAAACTATACTACAGGGCTACAGTAACCAAAACAGCATGGTACTGGTACAAAAACAAACACATAGACCAATGGAACAGAATAGAAAACCCAGAAATAAAACCACACACCTACAACTATCTGATCTTTAGGAAACCTGACAAAAAAAAAGTGATGGGGAAAGGATTCCCTATTCAACAAACTGTGCTGGGATAACTGGCTATCCATATGCAGACAATTGAAACTGGACCCCTTCCTTACACCATATACAAAAAAACTAACTCAGGATGGATTGATTGATGGATGTAAAACCTAAAACTATAAAAACCTGGAAGACAACCTAGACAATACATTCAGGACACAGGCACGGGCAAAGATTTTATGACTAAAATGCCAAAAGAAATTGCAACAAAAGCAAAAATTGACAAATGAGATCTAATTAAACCAAAGGGTTTCTGCACTGCAAAAGAAACTGTAAACAGAGTAAACTGACAATCTACAGACTGGGAGAAAGTTTTTGCAAACTGTGCATCTAACAAAGGTCTACTCTCCAGTATCTTTAAGGAACTTAAACCAATTTACAAGAAGAAAACAAACAACCACATTAAAATGTGGGCAAACGACATGAACAGACGCTTTTCAAAAGAAGACATACATGTGGCCAACAATCATATAAAAAAAGCTCAACATCACTGATCATGAGAGAAATGCAAATCAAAACCACAATGAGATACCATCTGATACCTGTCAGAATGGCTATTATTAAAAAGTCAAGGGACACATGTTCTCAGGACCTCCTGAGTGCTGATCACTCATATTTGGCTCAGAAAAATCTCTTCTAATATATTACAGAGTTTGACTCTTTTTGTCCACAATAATTTGGTGCCTGAACACGTGAGGCCTCAGATAAGACTCAGGACCCCAAAGGAGTTGTCTCAACCTGGAGCTAAGGTACCAGCAGGGGCCCACTGAAAGCCTCCAGGATTTTGAGCTTCTTCTCTGCCAGAAGTGGTAAGTCCTCCTGAGCCCCGACCTCCCTTTGGTTGACGGCCCTTTATTTATTCTGATCTACTATTTCTTTTTCTTTCTAGGAAGTTGTTGTTTAAGGATCCTACTTCTAGTTGGGAGATACATTCTAAAGGGTCTTCTCCATTGCTTTTCTCCCCAAATTAATCTCGATTTGGCTTGTCTGTTCACATTTGCATGAGGAACTGAACTGTTGTTTTCATAGGGAAACGAGAGACTGTGTTTCCTCAGCTTAAAAAAGAAAGGGCATTTTGCTCCTCCCAGCCAAAATGTGGGAAGTGATGAGGGGTGCTTGTGGGAATGTCTGGGGGTGGGTGGACCCCATCGTGATGTGAGTGGCCTACAGGGAACACCCAACAAAATGAGTTTTAAAAAGGCTTGTCCAGGAAGCACATATGGGAGCTGGTCACTCTGCATTTTGGGCCCTCCTGGAGGTGTTTAGACCTTCCGAGAGAGAAACTGAGACACATGAGAGGGAAGAAATGACTCAGTGGTGAGACCCTGTGGAGTCCCACCCACAACCAGCACACTGTGACCCACTGCACAAACCTCTAGCCCACAGCTCACTTCCTCCTTTAAGAAGAGAAGAGAAAAGAGGAGAGGAGAGGAGGAACAGAAAAGAAAAGAAAAGAAAAAGTGGGAAACAAATAATCTAAGAATGAGGAGAAAGCAAGAAGAGTGACCCCCTTGTGGGCACTCCATTGGTTTTATGGCGCCTCTACTTTCTGGAGTTTGTGTAAAACAAAAATATTATGGTCTTTGTGCACATTTACATCAAGGTAAGAGAGCCCTAATGGCAGCTTGCACGCTATAGAGTTCCTAAGTTCTCTCTTTCTCTATTTTCTTTTCTGCCTGCTTTACATCTGCTGTTACCTTTCTACTGAGATAAAAACCACTGTTTAGATCCAAATTTTTTTTGCAAGCTGGTAAATTTATATTAATATCTCATGGCTAGAGTTTTGAAGTAAAAGCTACAGGATGTCTGTGTGTGTGTGTGTGTGTGTGTGTGTGTGTGTGTGTGTGTGGTGTGTGTGTGTTTAAAAGCCTTTATGATAGATTTCTATAATTTTATGTTTAATTGGCAGTGAACCCATTTTAATTTCCCTCTAACACACCAGACTTCTTCCTCTGTACTTTGAGATGTAAGTTTTGCTGATTTTTTCTCCTAAAAAGTGTTTCCTGTAACATGGAAATTTAGGGTTATTTAGCTGACAACTGCCTGGGGTAAGGAAACAGGTTATGAAGAGTTTGAAAGGGTTGGGCGTGGTGGCTCACACTTGTATTCCCAGCACTTTGGGAAGCTGAGGTAGGTGACTCATGTGAGATCAGGAGTTCAAGACCAGCCTGGCCAACATGGTGAATCCCTGTCTCTACTAAAAATGCAAAACTTAGCCAGGCAGTAGTGGCACACTCGTAATCCCAGCTACTTGGGAGACTGAGACAGGAGAATCGCTTCAGCATGGGAGATGTAGGTTGCAGTGAGCTGGGATCATGCCACTGCATTCCAGTCTGGGTGACAGAGTGAGCCCCTGCCTCAAAAAAAAAAAAAAAAGAAAAAAAGAAAAAAAGAAAAAAAAAGAGTTTGAAAGTTTGAGATAGAAAAAAAGAGGTTTTTTGAATCTATAAGATGTACTACTATCAGCATGCCTAATGCGTCCATGAATCTGTGTGTGGTGTACATAATGTTTCACTACTAAAAATATACAAAAGAGCTCTAATTAATTGGCTTAAAGAGAATAAAAGTGCTTAAATCAAATACTTTATCAGGACAAGATGCTTCTTCAAGTTCACTTAAGTAAAATCTTTAATAAATAAGCTGGCTTTAAAATTATTGGTAAAATAAGATTAGAAATGTCTTAAGAATTGTTAGCATTTTTGTTTGCACTTATTGCACAAGTGGTTTTGTGCTTATCCCTGCAGAATAGTATAAGATTTTCCATAAGGGTTATAAAACTATAAACCTGGCCGGGCACGGTGGCTCACGCCTGTAACCCCAGCACTTTGGGAGGCCGAGGCTGGTGGATCACCTGAGGTTGGGAGTTCAAGAGCAGCCTGACACACACAAAACAAAATTATAAACCCAGCCCAAAACAGAATGATCTTTGCTTGTATAATTTTTAATAAATAAGCCATGTAATATTGTTGGTTAAATAAAAACAGCTAACTACTGAGATATTGGTTAAAAAAAATAACTTTATATTTAACCATAAGTTTCCTTACTTAGGTAAACACCTGAAATTCATAGTTTATAACATTGGTTAACAGGGAATTAACTTTAAGTGATGACTGTCACAGTGTTCATAAATAATCTAGGTAAACTATTAAATAAGTTTATCAAGTAAATGCAATGGAATAAATGCCTATAAACAAACTTGTCACATAATTTACAATCTAAAGTTATATTAAATAATAGATATTAATTGACTAGCTGGGTAATTTATAATTTAAAAATTACAGGAAAACATTTTTAAAAAACAATTCTTATTAAAAGATAAATATCTGTGTTTAATTCAAAGCTTTTTTAAAAGTTATGTATAAAACAAGATAAATGGAAACAGGAAATAAGAGATGTAAAGACAGTTATAAATATAAAGAGGAATTTTGGTAAAAAAGATGAAAAGGAAAGTAATTTTACACAAGAAAGTCTTATGTAGTGAATTTTTGTCCTGAAATAAAATAACTGATAGTTCAAGAAAGAGGGATATTTAGGACAAAACAGGCAGTTTAAGCATGTTGTAAGTGGTCTCTGTAAGTCACAATAAGACTTTTTTTAAAAAAAGAAAGGTAGTGTAATGTAGTTGGTTATGATTAAGAAATATAATAGTCATTCTACAGATGGGTCTTTGATATTTAAAAAACACACCCTAATCCAAAACTAAATAATTGGTTAAAACAAGGTTTTAGTAAAATATTAACTTATTCTTAATGCAAAAAGTTTTTAATTTTTAAATTCTATAATCTGTCTTTTTGAAATTCTTCCAATGAATATATCAAAGTTCAGCTTTTTCTCTTTTGAAAGGCCTTGGATGATAGCTCTCTCCTTCACCTTGTGTTGGCTTCTGTAACTTTTATTAATTATCTAAAGTAAGAGAGGAATTTTTATTTAAAAACAGAAAAATGAAATATCCTTTAGACCTGCTTTTTTTATTCTGTATGCCTGTTATATCTGTATCTTCATATGTGTTATCTGGAAGTGATATTTCACTACCAAACTACATGAAACAGCTCATCAGTTGTCTTTTTTAAAAAAAAGTAAGTGCTTATCAGATTGGCAGACACTAGCTAAGATGCCTTTGAATTCACCTGATTTTAATATTTAGTAAAATTAATTTAGTAAATTTAATCTTAAAACTCTCTCCAGTAATTAGAGCTATGTTATGTTAAACCTCGTTTTTTTTTTTTTCACTTGAAATTTGGGTTACTAAATTAAAATAGTAGGAGTATAAAATGTTTTTGGTGATGCATATAAAACACAAGGATATAGGTTTTGCAAAAAAAAAAGTAGGTTTTTTTCTAGTTAAGAAACTATTTAAGAGTTGCTTTAAAATGAAGAAAAAATTACGGAGATAAAACTAAATAAAAAGAACAATTTAGCCAGGACAACAAAAGTTAACTCTGAGACCTGTGATTACCAAGAAGATAGTTGATATAGAGGAAGGGCAAAAACAAGTAACTATTAAAACCAGAGGGTATAATGCAAAGGAATTGTTCTGCTTTTTAGATTGTTATAATCAGTTTCTTAAAAATAATCTATGTGGTAGATTGTAAAAAATAACCACTTTAAGGGCCAAATTCTTAATTTTTTTTTTGAGATGGAGTCTTGCTCTGTTGCCCAGGCTGGATGGAGTGCAGTGGCGTGATTTCGGCTCACTGCAAGCTCTGCCTCCCAGGTTCACGCCCACATTCTTAATTTTAAATGCTTCAGAATTTAAGAGCTTGTTTGGATTGATGCAGGACCCGTAGCTCACTATTAAACAATCACTAATGAGTATATGAGATCCAAATGCACAGGAGGTTATTCCAGAGAGAACAACCAGCTTAGTGGACCAGACAAACGCCACTGAAAGGTCTGTTGGCCCTGAGAAGGGGACTAGCCAACTCTCCCTATAAAACACCAAGTGCAGCATCCCAGATGAAGCAGTGAATATGCTTTGTATGCGAGCCAGGTGGGGCTGGTGTATGAAGCATATGAACCAAGTAACCATTAAAATCAATCAACCGTTGGTGGACACTTAGTTTGGTTTCATGTCTGTGCTGTTGTGAATAGTGCTGCAACAAACATAATGAGTGCAGTTGTCTTATTTATTTATTTATTTTTTATTTTTTGAGATGGAGTTTCATTCTTGTTGCCCAGGCTGGAGTGCAATGGTGCCATCTCTGCTCACTGCAACCTCCGGCTCCTGGGTTCAAGCGATTCTCCTGCCTTAGCCTCCCAAGTAGCTGGGATTACAGGTGCTCGCCACCATGCCTAGCTAATTTTTTGTATTTTTAGTAGAGACAGGGTTTCACCATGTTGCCCAGGCTGGTCTCACACTCCCAACCTCAGGTGATCTGCCTGTCTTGGCCTCCCAAAGTGCTGGGATTACAGGCGTGAGCCACCACACCTGACCCAATTGTCTTTTTAATATAATGACTTTTCCTTTGGCTGGATACCATGTAATGGGATTGCTAAGTGAAATGGTAGTTCTATTTTTAGTTCTTTGAGATAGCTCCATATTATTTTCCATAGAAGATAAACTCATTTACATTCCTACCAACCATGTATCTTGCTAACATCTGTTGGTTCTGACTTCTTAAAAGTAGCCATTTTGACTGGTGTAAGTTGATACTCAGTGTGGTTTTAAGTTGAATTTCTCTGATGATTAATGATGTTGAGCATTTTTTAATGTGTTTGTTGGCCACTTATATTTCTTGTTTTGAGAAATGTCTGTTGATGGTCTTTACTCAGTTTTCCATAAAGTTGTCTGTGTTTTTTGTTTTTTTTTTCATGTTGAATTCTTTGACTTCCTTGCAGATTCTGGACATTAGTCTTTTGTTGGAGGCATAATTTGCAAATATTTTCTTCCATTGTGTAGGTTGTCTGTTCATTCTGTTGATTGTTTCTTTTGCTGTGCAGTAGCTTTTAATTTTAATCATGTCTCATTTGTCTATTCGGGGGTTTGTTGCATTTTTAAGGGTCTTTACCATAAGTTCTTTGCCTGGACTAATGTCCAGAAGGGTTTTTCCTAAATTTTGCTTTAGGAATTACATAGTTTCAGGTCTCACATTGAGGTCTTTAATTCATCTTGAGTTGATTTTTGTACATGGTGGGAGATAAAGGTCCAGTTTTATTCTTTTGCATATGGCTACCCAGTTTTTCCAGCATCCTTTATTGAATAGGGTGTCCTTTCCCCATTGTTTACTTTGTTGACTTTAGCAAAGCTCAGTATGTTGTAGGCATGTATCTTTATTTCTAGTTTCTCTATTCTGTTCCCTTGATGTCTGTGTATATTTTTGTACTAGTAAATGCTGTCTTAGTTACTATGGCCTTATAGTATAACTTGAAATCAGGCAATGTGATGTCTCCTGTTTTGTTCTTTTTGCATAGAAGTGTTTTAGCTGTTCAGGCTGGTTTTTGGTTCCAAATGAATTTAAAAATTGCTTTTTCTCTAATTCTGTTAAAGAAATGACATTTGTAATTTAATAGGAATTGTGTTGAATCTGTAGTATGCTTTGGGCAATATGGTCATTTTAACAATATTGATTCTTCCCATTTGTGAGCAAGGAATATTTTTCTATTTGGTTGTGTTGCCTACAGTTCCTTTCATCAGCCTTTTGTCACTCTCTGTGTAGAGGTCTTTCACCTCCTTGGTTAAATATACTCCTCAGTGTGTGTTTGTGTTTGTGTGTTCTTAATTTGATTCTCAGCTTGAACGGTACTGATGTATAGAAAAGCTACTGATTTTTGTAGCTTGATTTTTTTATCCAGAGACTTTACTGAAGTCACTTACCAAGTCTACGAGTCTTCTGGAAGAATCTTCAGGGTTTTCTGGGTATATGATCGTGTCATCAGCACACACAGATAATTTCACTTTCTCTTTTCCAATGTGGATGCACTTTCTTTCTTTCTGTTGCCTGATTGCTCTGGCTAGGACTTCCAGTACTGTGTTGAATAGGAGTGGTGAGAGTGGACATCCTTGTCCTGTTCCATTTCTTGGGGAAATGCTTTCACTTCTCCCCATTCAATTTTAAGGTTGGCTGTGCGTTTGTCATATAAGGCTCTTATTTTGGGGTATGTTTCTTTCATGCCTAGTCTGTTGAGGGATTTTATCATGAAGGGATATTGGACTTTCTCGAACGCTTTATCTGCATCTATTGAGATGACCATATGCTTTTTGTTCTTAGTTTATGTCATGAGTCACTTTTATTGGCTTGCATATATTGAACCATCCTTTCATCCCTGGAATCAAGCCAACTTGATCATGATGAATTATGTTTTTGATACACTGTTAGATTCCGTTTAATAGCATTTTCTTGAGGATTTTTGCACCTGTGTTCCTCAGGTTTCTTGGCCTGTAGTTTTATTTTTCTGTTGGATCCCTGTCTGATTTTGCTATCAGGGTGATATTGGTTTCATAGAATGAGCTAGGAAAGAATCCCATCGCCTTGATTTTTTGGAATACTTTCATTATGATTGGCACCAGCTCTTCGTTGTGTATATGGCAAATTTCGACTGTGAATCCATCTGTTCTTGGGCTTTTTTGCCGGAAGATTTTTAGTACTGATTCTTTTTGGTTACTTGTTATTGGTCTGTTTAGGGTTTCTATTTTTTGCCTGTGCGATCTTAGGAAGTTGTATGTGTCTAGGAATTCATCCATTTCTCTAGGTTTTCTAGTTTATGTGCATAAAGGTGTTCATAGTAGTCTCTGATGGTCATTTGTATTTCTGTGGCGTTGGTTGTAATGTCAACTTTATCATTTCTGATTGTGCTTATTTAAATCTTCTCCTTTTTTTGGTTAGTGTAGTCAGCCATCTCTCAATTTTATTTATACTTTCAAAAAACCAACGTTTTCTTTCATTGATTCTTTGTAATGTTTTTGTCTCAATCTCATTCTTTATCTGTCCTTTCAGAGTTTCCATTGTTTTCAGCATCCATCACTAGCAAGCCAGTGCGATCCTTTGGTGGTGCCACAATATTCAGATTTTTCACAGCGTCAGAATCCTTACACTGATTCCTTCTCTTCTGGAGAGGCCTCCACTTACTCTCTTCGAATTTATTTTCATTTGGATGGGATTTGTTTTGCACATTTTCCCCTGGCCCCGCAGGGAGGGTGACTGTAGAGCATGTTGGGAAGGGTCTTTTGGCTTTTCCCATGGCTTTGGGAGCTTCTGCAGCAGGGTTTGTGTTGGGCTGTGCAGCTCAAATTGCAGGCCAGGAGCTGGTGCTTAAGGGTAAGAGCCACCCTCGGCACAAGCAGGTGGATATGGACCTGGTGTGTTTCCTGTGAGGTGCTGACTGTTGTTTCAGGGGAAGGGCTGGACCGTGGAGTGTCAGGTGCCCTGAGCTTTGTGTTCCACAGGGGCGAGGGAACACCCCTGGGCAGAGCTGGAACCCCCGGCTTGCCCACAGATATCCCAGTGATGAGTGCAGGCACTAGTCCTGATGGACATGGCTGGAGCAGCTCCTAGTGAAATGCCCTGAGGTCTCTGCGGGGGGTGAAGGAGCTACACCGTTTCCAGTCCCATAGGGAGGAACGTTGTCTGTCTCCCTATCACACCCGTGCTCCAGGGCTCATGAGTCTCAGTTCAGACACACACTCTTGTCTCTCCCCAGGCCACAGTGTGGCTGAGGGCCGTGGGAAACACCTGCCTTGCCACTCTCTGCAGGCGTGGTTCCAAGGCAGAGCCTCCTCCCTCAGCCCAGTGCAGACCCTGAGCGGCTGTCTGTTGTCTGACGTGGTAGCTGCTTCATGTAGGTGGGATGTGGGGCTTCTGCCTCTCTGGATGGGAGAGTGGACGTCAGTTGTGGTGGTGTTGCTGGCTGGGTGGGCCCGACCTCAGGCCCTGGGGTGAGTGGTCAGGTGCCAGCAGGGTAGGAAAGGGCAGGTAGTTCCCGGATCACAGGCCCCTAGGTGGCCGGCTGGACAGCGTGTGTGAGTCCTGAAGGGGCTGGACTGGGTTTTGGCTGCTCCGGGGTTCAGATGCTGGCTGTGATGGGGAGGGATGGGCTGGTCCCCAGGGCACAGGCAGAACCCTCAGGCGGGGCAGGCAGAAGGCTCAGGTGGTAGAGCCTGCGGCAGATCACAGACCTGTGGGGACTGGGCTCTCAGAAGGGCTGGGGGCTGCAGCTGAAATGTCCAGGTGGGGGCAGGGTGGCTGTGCTGTGGGCCTGTCACTAGGGAGGGCAGCGCCCCTCGGCTGGGGCACTGGAGACTGGCAGCTGTGAGGCACAGGGCCCGCTCACACTTCCCTCCTGAAGTGTCACTCGGTTTTGCTCTGGGGACACGTGAAAGTGCCAGGCCTCCCCACACCCTCCCTGGGCCTGGGGCAGCAGGGGCAGAGGCAGAGGTGGCAGTGACTGCAAAGGGCTTGTCAGGGGCCTCTGAGCATTGGGCTTTCAGAGGGCACTGAGCCAGGGCCACCGTGTTCGGGTGGGGGCAGGACGGGTGACTGGGGCCCTGCAGCTGGCAAGCCCCATTAGCAGGAAGGAAGCCCCATTTCGCAGGAAGCAACAGAGGTGGGCAGCTGTGTGGTGCTCAGCTTGGCTGCTCCTGTGCCCCAGCTGTCATACTTATTCTGGGGCCCACAGAGGTGCCTGGCCTCCTCCCTCCCTGCTAAGGCAGTGTCAGCTGGACCCAGGCTGCTCAGGGATCAGAAGCCTGTGGGATTCCACGTGGGCTCCAGAGGCGCCTCTGCACCATCTCTGGGAACTCCCTGTGCCTCTGTAGGCCAAGGGGGGTCAGGGGCTCTCCTGTGACCAGGATTGTAAAGGGCCAAGACAGGGGTGTGGATCCCAGGGGCCTCACACCCACTCAATCTTTCCCTTTGTTAAGGAGCCTCTCACTCACTCACCCCTTCCCCGTGTTAGGGAGCCTCGCACTCACTCACCCCTTCCCCGTGTTAGGGACCCTCTCACTCACCCCTTCCCCGTGTTAGGGAGCCTCGCACTCACTCACCCCTTCCCCGGGTTAGGGAGCCTCGCACTCACTCACCCCTTCCCCATGTTAGGGAATCTCTCACTCACTCACCCCTTCCCCGTGTTAGGGACCCTCTCACTCACTCACCCCTTCCCCGTGTTAGGGACTCTCTCATTCACTCACCCCTTCCCCATGTTAGGAGCCTCTCACTCACTCACCCCTTCCCCGTGTTAGAGAATCTCTCACTCACTCACCCCTTCCCCGTGTTAGAGAATCTCTCACTCACTCACCCCTTCCCTGTGTTAGGAGCCTCTCCTGGCTCCCACCTTTTCTCTTCTCTTCTTTCCATGTCCTCATGTTTCTCAGGTGAACCCCAGCATCCTCTTGGAAGATCCACTTGACCTGTTGGTATTTACTCACTATTTTGGGTCCTCTTAGTGAGTAGGCAGACTCCAGCCCTTTCCATTCAGCCAACTTGAACCTCAGCCCACAATCATTTTCTTGTCACTTTTTACTCTTGGGAAATCCGGTCCCAATGTGCTTGTCTTTCATTTGAGAATAATTTTCATTTTCTCCAGTAGTTTTAAAATTACTTTGTATCTATTCTAGGTATCTTTTACTCTATCATAGTTAAGACATTGATGTTATTTATTAATTTGTTCACATTAAACTCATGTTCTTTCTTCATTTCTGTAAAAATGTCAACCATTTTCTTTGCAATATTTACTGAATAACGTACTCCTTATTTCCTTCATTCTGAAAGTGTGATCCATAGAGAGATACCTGTTTCCTCTTCTCATTCCATTTCTTGTGTGCATTAATTATGTTTTCTACTTTATTCATTTCTAGTTTTTCTCTGATGACTAATGAAAAATTTAATAGATATTCCACACCAATACTATGCTCATCATTTCAGCTGTGTCTTGTTCTTATGCAATTATTTCTAAATGTGTTGATATGATTTACTATTTTTCACCTCACAGTAGCTTCCTAATTCATTTCTATAATTGCCTGTTTTTTCTGTAATGGACTTTTTGATTTTTATTTCTCTTGGGTGGGTTTTTCTCCCACACATGTGATCTTCCATACAGTTTCTCCCCGGGCTGACTCAGGAAGGAAAGCTGATGAGGAGCATTGCTGTGGTCACTCCTGCCCTGCGGTGTCCATGCTGCCAAGCTTAGAATCAGCTCTGTGTTCTGTCCGGCATGGTGGGGCCCATGTGAGCCTCACACTCACGTGCTAGAGATGCCTGGTCCAGCAGTGATAAAGCGCATCTGTGTCATGCACACCCGGGAAGGTGGCTCAATGCTGAGTGTGGCCCGGGTCACTGAGGGGAGCTATCCCAGGGTCTGTCCACAAACACAGAAGAGGGAGAACAACAGTCTCTCTAGGGTCCCACGGTTTCCTCCATTTTTTGCTTTGTTCTGAGAGAGAGACAAAGTGCCATGACTGCTCTGTGGGTTGGACAGATGCATGCTTTCACCTGCAGGCTGGAACCCAAGCTGAGGTCTTCAGCATCCCCAAGTACTGATAAAGCACTTTAGGTTGTTTTTAGAAAACACTGAAAAATTAACCCTTTTGCTAAAGAGGTAGAAACAAGCCCTCCCCTCAACGAAATTCCTGAAACTCTCAGGTTAAACTTCGTAACCCAATCCCTTCACTGCAGACACCCAATAGGAAAGTCACATGTGCAAGGATGAGATGACTTTGGTCAAGCTCAGACCCCACAGGGCCAGGAAGGCCTGAAGGAGAGGAGGCCCATGCTTCCAGCTCTCAGATAAGAGCTGCTTCTAAGGACTTTTTAAAAACCCCACAAGAAACCCTTCCATGTCCTTCACCCCCTCCTGCTTTGACAAGGTTTATCACTAGATATTCTTTAGGATGTCAGGAATTCAGATAAGATGCTCTCGAGAAAAAACTTGCCCAGCAACGGCATCTCCTCCAATGGACTGACAGCAACTCTGGCTTTGAACCTCTGGAATCAGGGAACTCTGTTTCTAAGCAGCTCTGTCAGCCTCTCTCTTGTTGCTGATAAGAACTTCCTTTACTTCTGTATGTCAGAGAGCTCTCTCTATGGTGCTTTTCCTCTACTCTCACACCACAGGAATCATCCTCACAGAAGAAGACTTCTAGGACCAGATGTGTGGGATTTTTTTTCCTAGACCCAGTAGCGGACGCCAGCTGAGTGTTTAAATGCTTCTTCCCCAGTGCCGTAAACAAATAGCACTTGAACATAAATTTAATTTACTCAGCAAGACCATTTTTATTTTCTGCAGCAAGGGTACACTCACCAGCAGTTTTGCTTCGAGAGTACACAAAACAAAAGAGACAGGGTCATTTATAACCTGACACGTCCACCCTACTGCTCTGTCCGGTTTCCACTGGCTGGAACAGGACCTCACACTCTGTATTTGTCCCGATTGGCTAGTAACTTAGAACTTCTGAAAAGAGGCAAAGGTAGAGCAGAACAAAGGAAGGAGGAAGTAACTTGTGGAATGCTGAGAAAGGTGAAAACACCTTCAAATAAGGAAGAGGAACAGGCTATGACCTAATGCTTGCTTGGACCAGTATAAGCATGCCAGGGCAAATATTTAGGCTAAATTGTGGGAGCTAATAACATAAAGTACATTGATTTATTTATCACGGCTAGCAGATATTTGAGAATGTTAGCATAGCTCTGACACTGTCTACCCAGAGACAGTCCCAGATCCCACAGATTGAATGGTTCAGTCCCCAACACTGCCCCCACACCATTCCCAAGTCCAGACCTCCAGAACTTCTGACTGACTGGCTTCAAGTTGGGGACCCTATGACCACCTCTTTGGGTTTGATTAATTTGCTGTAGCAGCTCACAGAACTCAGAGAGACACTGACGTTTCCTGGTTGAATACAAAGCACACTGCAGAGGACACAGATGAAGAGACTCATAGGAGGAGGCATGGGGGAAGGGGCGCAGGGCTTCCATACCCTCCCTGGGCATCACCCTCCAGGAGTCTCCACATGCTCAACCACCCAGAAACCCACGAAACCCAGTCTTCTTGGGTTTTTATGAAGCTTCATGATGTCAGTATTTCCTCCCACAAGGAACAGGCTGAGACCATCTTCTGGGAGGGTCTTAAGAGCCACCATCAGAAAGGCAGGGACATTAGAGTCTTGCCTTGGGCAGGTGAAGGAAGGGCAGGAGGAGGTCAGAGGCCTCCCCTAAGGCCTAACACAGCCAATGTTATAACAAAAGACTGTAACAAGGGCTATGGAGCTATGAGCCAGGAACCGCAGGTGAAAACCAGTGTGTATCACAACATCACACTTCCCTCTCCGGACACACTGTGGCTTGCCATGCCATGCACTCCAGATTGTAATCCTTGCTTCTCACTCCCAAATAAACTCAAAATCCAGACAACCCTGGAGCAACGCAGCCTTGAATTCCTGGGGTCTCTTATATGCACACTTTTTTCAACCAAACGGGGGTCAAAACTGTAGCATTTGTGGGATGCAAGACTTGTGTATATGAACGGCAGACTTTTCCTATATGCAGGCCCAGCAGAGACAATGTCGGGGCTGGAGTACGAGCAGGTGTTGGTGCATGTAGGGGGTACTGAAACGAATTGCCTGTGTATCCCAAGAAACAACTCTACTGAGAGATCATATTCTCTAGGGGTTTATTTTTGTTTTTATTTTTATTTTAAGTTAAAGCTTCGGGTAGAACACCCAGTGTCTCCTTGTCCATCTGAAGAAGATGCTGCTATGTGGAAGCACATCCTTGAGATCCACAAGGAGACACTGGGCAAGGAGACGAGGGTGCCCCACTGTGCAGAAGTCTCCCTAATAAATGATCTATGAACACCCTGGTGTTTAGTGCTTCTTTCTTTGGAATCCCAGCAGCTCTGTCACTGGACGGTTTGGTGCACTCCCTTGAGGGAATTCCCCTGGGCTGCTTGGGGTCCACTCCAGCCTCAGGTGTAGCTGGAGGACGCAGCCTCCCACCTTGGTCTGGAGCCCTGAGCCCCTCACTGTCATTGCAGATCCCGAGGTTCCTCTCCTGGCTCCACTCAGTGGTGGAAACCTCCACCCTAATGAGCCCTTGATGGTCCCAGGTCCCTGTGGCATCTCACCTGTGGCCTCTGTTCTTTCCTGTGGATCCATCTACACTTGGGAACTTCCACATCTCTTTTTCTGCTCATGACATTGATGCTCTGGGTATTTCAGAAATGCCCAGATAGATGGACAAATACACGTCCATCTATCCATTAGGGTCAGATGTGAGATCCAGAGTGGACACATCAATCACCTACGTAGACTGTGGAGTCCAACGCCAAGATCCTCTTATGTCCCAAACACCTCAGGTCTTACCCTGGTCTGGAAATCAAGCACAAATGAGCCCCTCCTAATGTTCCAGCACCACTGACCGTACAACCACTGTCACGAGTGGGATTTGTGACAACAGTCGGCAAAGGAAGAATCTGAGGCTCAGAGATGGTTCATTACCGCCCGAGGTCACGTAGGCAGTGGATGATAACCAGTCGTTGAATAAATATAACTCCCCCCCAACTCCCCAAATCAAAGCTCAAATATAAGTCATTGTTCCCAAAGCGTTGAACAGGGATTGAGGTGCAGAGGGACGGCCAAGTAAGCAAAGGGCACCGAGGAGGCAGGAAAGACTCAGAGATTTGTTCCCGGGGGGTGGGGTTGGACACTGTAGCAAAATATTTTAAAAAGGGGAAGTTAAGAGGGGACTATTTGGTTGAAAGAAAACCCACAATCCAGTGTCAAGAAAGAAGTCAACTTTTCTTCCCTATTTCCCTGCATTTCTCTTCTGTGCTCGCTGCCACACGCAGCTCAGCCTGGGCGGCACAGCCAGATGCGAGATGCGTCTCTGCTGATCTGAGTCTGCCTGCAGCATGGACCTGGGTCTTCCCTGAAGCATCTCCAGGGCTGGAGGGACGACTGCCATGGTAAGGACCCCACAACGCTGAGCTGATGGACGGCTGAAGGAGGGAGGGTGACCATGTGGGAGGCTGTGAGAAGGAAGGAGATGCCTCCGCTACCCTCGTCAGGAAGGGCAGACACAGGAAGGAACCAGTTTTATTTGCTGCTACATCCTGGCTCTCAGTGGGATGAAAACAAACCAGACAGACGGTGGCTGGGGGTCAGGAAAGGGCCCATTACCATCTGAAATGATGCAGAGGGCCTAGTGACTGCCCCCACCTCAGCCCTAATGGAATGAGAGCAAGGGTCCTGGGGAGGGCAGTTCCACTTCCTGTGTGGCTGCAGATGACAGCACCCCATGAGAAGAAGGACCCAGCCTCCGATTGGCCACACTCTGTGTGTCTCTCTATCCTGCCAGCACCGAGGGCTCATCCATCCACAGAGCAGGGCAGTGGGAGGAGACGCCATGACCCCCATCCTCACGGTCCTGATCTGTCTCGGTGAGATTTGAAGAAGGAGGGGAGCTTCTAACCTAAGAGGGACCTCACCCCACAGCCAAACTCTGGTCCCTAAGGAGACCCCAGGGGCTCACAAAGATCCCAGGGAGGGGAGGACCTGCCCAGGCTTCAGGGGGCAAATCCCTCACCGGGAACTCTCTTCCAGGGCTGAGTCTGGGCCCCAGGACCCACGTGCAGGCAGGTGAGTCTGTCCCCAGCTCTTCCAGGTCCCTCCTCCTCACTGGGGACAAGGGGCCACCCCCGTGCCGCTGGGGATGGGGAATAGCAGTTCTGGGCTGACTGATCGGGGCGTCTGGAGGGTCCTGGGCTGAGAGCTGGAATCTGCTGGGTTGGGTGGGAAATGAGTTAGAATCCGACTCCTGATTTCCTTCCAGGGCACCTCCCCAAGCCCACCCTCTGGGCTGAACCAGGCTCTGTGATCACCCAGGGGAGTCCTGTGACCCTCAGGTGTCAGGGGGGCCAGGAGACCCAGGAGTACCGTCTATATAGAGAAAAGAAAACAGCACTCTGGATTACACGGATCCCACAGGAGCTTGTGAAGAAGGGCCAGTTCCCCATCCCATCCATCACCTGGGAACATGCAGGGCGGTATCGCTGTTACTATGGTAGCGACACTGCAGGCCGCTCAGAGAGCAGTGACCCCCTGGAGCTGGTGGTGACAGGTGAGCTGACACTCAGGGGTCCCAGCCCCAGACTCTGCCCTCAGGAAGGGGGACGGCTCTCAGGGGCTTCTCCCTCTCACAGCCCAGCCCTGGGGATGACGCGGGTGGTCTGAGCCACATTTAACACGGTGCCTCCTTCTCTCCTAGGAGCCTACATCAAACCCACCCTCTCAGCCCAGCCCAGCCCCGTGGTGAACTCAGGAGGGAATGTAATCCTCCAGTGTGACTCACAGGTGGCATTTGATGGCTTCAGTCTGTGTAAGGAAGGAGAAGATGAACACCCACAATGCCTGAACTCCCAGCCCCATGCCCGTGGGTCGTCCCGCGCCATCTTCTCCGTGGGCCCCGTGAGCCCGAGTCGCAGGTGGTGGTACAGGTGCTATGCTTATGACTCGAACTCTCCCTATGAGTGGTCTCTACCCAGTGATCTCCTGGAGCTCCTGGTCCTAGGTGAGAAATTCACAGCATTGCCTGGAGTTCCCTGAGTCTCCAGGCAGGTGGGGAGCAGCCGCGTCTCAGGGCAGTTCCAGGTGGGATGATGTTGGGGCGAGAGGGCTCAGGGCTCCTGGGGCCAGAGACACAGGAAGATCAGCAGTGATGTGGCCCCGGGGGAAAGGGAAGATTTGTGGGGAAGCCTGAGGGTCGGCTCCTGGAAACCATGACCACCTTTTCCCAGGTGTTTCTAAGAAGCCATCACTCTCAGTGCAGCCAGGTCCTATCGTGGCCCCTGAGGAGACCCTGACTCTGCAGTGTGGCTCTGATGCTGGCTACAACAGATTTGTTCTGTATAAGGACGGGGAACGTGACTTCCTTCAGCTCGCTGGCGCACAGCCCCAGGCTGGGCTCTCCCAGGCCAACTTCACCCTGGGCCCTGTGAGCCGCTCCTACGGGGGCCAGTACAGATGCTACGGTGCACACAACCTCTCCTCCGAGTGGTCGGCCCCCAGTGACCCCCTGGACATCCTGATCGCAGGTGAGGAGCCCAGCGGGTTCAGTCAGGGACCCAGGCTCCGCACAGGCCCTGCCGGGGGAGCTCAGGTAGTGATGGCCGGGATGAGGGATGGGGGTCCCAAGGGAGGGAGAGACAGACAGAGACAGGGGATGGGCGGGGAGGGGGAGACTCAGAGAAAACAGAGACAGAGACACTGAGGGTCCCAGAGGGAGACCTGGGGAGGTGTCAGCTCAGAGCAAGGTGGGGCAGCCCCTCGCCCATCCTTCTTCTCTCCAGGACAGTTCTATGACAGAGTCTCCCTCTCGGTGCAGCCGGGCCCCACGGTGGCCTCAGGAGAGAACGTGACCCTGCTGTGTCAGTCACAGGGATGGATGCAAACTTTCCTTCTGACCAAGGAGGGGGCAGCTGATGACCCATGGCGTCTAAGATCAACGTACCAATCTCAAAAATACCAGGCTGAATTCCCCATGGGTCCTGTGACCTCAGCCCATGCGGGGACCTACAGGTGCTACGGCTCACAGAGCTCCAAACCCTACCTGCTGACTCACCCCAGTGACCCCCTGGAGCTCGTGGTCTCAGGTGGGGGCCTTGACCCTGTCCTCTCTGAGCTCAAAGTCTCAGCTCAGACCCTGCCCCAGGAGAGCTCTGGGCTGGGATGGAGTGAGCGGGGGTCTGAGAGGGGCTCAGCCAGTGGGAGACTCACCCTCAGAGGGAAGGAGGAGAACAGGGCCCTCCCAGGCCTGCCCACCCTCAGTGGCATCGCCAGCATCATGGACAGGAGAGACGGGTGGAGGGAGGGGCCTGGGGAGGCCACAGGTCCCATGTAGAGAAATTTGGTTTGAGGTGGAGACTTCAGGAAAGCCCCAGCTCCTCAGCCTCCTCTCATTCTTTTACCCAGGACCGTCTGGGGGCCCCAGCTCCCCGACAACAGGCCCCACCTCCACATCTGGTGAGTCCCTGAGGCTTCTGAACTCAAGGGAGTGCGGCCTCCCCCAGGGCAGCCCTGGGTCTCCCAGAGAATCCCATTCCCCTCAAAGACTCGAGCTTCCCTCCAGGGAGCCGGGCAGAGCCAGAGGAGGGGCCACAGGGTCCCCAGGGCTCTGAGGCTGGGCTGGTGAGGGGTGGGGGGTCAAGGCAGAGAGAAATGTTGGGGCCCAGCCTGGGGGAGGAGCAGCCGGGCTGATGTGGGGAGCAGGGCAGCCCCAGCCCTCACCTCCCCGTCCTGACCCAGCAGGCCCTGAGGACCAGCCCCTCACCCCCACCGGGTCGGATCCCCAGAGTGGTGAGTGACGGGCTCTGAGTGGGAGGTGGGCAGGGTCCAGGGGAGGCAGGGGTGGGTTCTGTCCTAGGTTCAGTCTCCTCTGGAGGTGGTGATATAGACAGGCTCCTCCCCTGCTTGGGCCTCAGTTTCTCCAAATGTAAAGGTGAGAGGCCTGCGGGTGGGAAAGTTCCTTTCAGCTCTGACTCCCAGCTGTGACCTCCTGGGAGAGGAGGCCTCCCAGGGAACCTCCCAGACCCGATTCCGCGGGGGCCTGTCCCGTCCCACCTGCAGCAGAGACGGTGACCTGGGGCAGGGGAGGGGAGAAGAGTCATGGTTCAGGACGGTCAGGCTCTTTCCCTGCAGCTCCGGGGCTCGGCTCTGGTGCAGGAACAAGGGCTGCAGGTCAGACTCCTGGGCTTCCTTCCCAGCTCTGCCGCTTCCTGGCTGGGGGCCCCGGGCAGGCGATTCCCCTCTCTGAGCGTCAGTTTTTCATCTGTACAGTGGGTGGGGTGGATGTTTCTGTGCTGCACGACTGTTGTGGGGGTTGGAGGTGGTGAACAGAAGGTCCAGCAGTCACCTGCACACAGTAGGCGCTCATTTCAATGACATCACCCCCATCCCTGACATCATCGTGCTCAAGGTCTGGGAAGGCACCTGGGGGTTGTGATCGGCATCTTGGTGGCCGTCATCCTACTGCTCCTCCTCCTCCTCCTCCTCTTCCTCATCCTCCGACATCGACGTCAGGGCAAACACTGGACATCGAGTGAGTAGGGAATGGGGGGACCCTGAGGGCTGACCGAGGGTGGGCTCAGGGCACAGCCAAAGAGAATCCAAACCACTGGGCAAATGCAGCTTTGAGAAACTGTTCCAGCATTTCTCACCAGGCCAATCGACAGTCAGTCCCATCTACAAATGTAAAGTGTCCTTCGGGCTCAGTGCCATCTACAAATGTAAAGTGTCCTTCGGGCTCTGTCCATCCTATGAGGCATTTGGAACATGGAGGCAGGAGTGTTTTTAGGTTTCCTTCCTTACCTTCGAGCTGTGTGTGCAGGGCAGGGGGCTCCAATGTTCCCAGGGCTGAGGCTCTGTCCTTCTTCCCCCAGCCCAGAGAAAGGCTGATTTCCAACATCCTGCAGGGGCTGTGGGGCCAGAGCCCACAGACAGAGGCCTGCAGTGGAGGTAATTCTGCCCGAAGACCCCAGACTCCCACCTGCTCGTGGCCCATACACTGCCCCTAAAGCTCCCATTCTTCCCCCAGGTCCAGCCCAGCTGCCGATGCCCAGGAAGAAAACCTCTGTGAGTGAGAGGAAGAGGTGACCAGCCAGGAGGGAGATGGGGGCCCCGAAGTTTCCGTAGCAATGGGGAAAGGGGCGCTGGCTGGAAAGGGTCTGGGGCTCAGGGTGAGATCATCTCACCCCACACTGTGGGGCCTCAGGGACATCGCAGCCCCTCCCTGCATCTCAGTGGCCCCATCTGGGAGCTGAGCAGGGGCTGGCAGGACTCAGAGGTCCCAGGGAACCTTCCCAAGAGACAAACCCCTTGCTCTGCCCCAGCAGATGCTGCCGTGAAGCACACACAGCCTGAGGATGGGGTGGAGATGGACACTCGGGTGAGACCCCACCCCTGTCCCAGGCACCAAAGGCCTCCTGGTGCCAGATCTAATCCTGCAGAACTTCTCTGTCCTCCTTCCCCCGGCTCTCAGCATCGTCACGGTGGACCCCTCCTTGTCCAGCACGCTGCCTCCCGCCTGCTGCGACCTCACTCTCTCCTGCTGTCCTGGGACCTCGTGGGCCTCCTCCCGGGTCCCCTTCCTGCTCCTCATCCTCTGTTTGGCCGTCTGGTTGTTAGAGCTCTCCCCAGGCCTCAGGAGGATGAGGAATAAATGAACCACCCCGGTCCCCCAGGCTCCCCTTCATTCATTCAACCAGCAAGTGTTCCCAGGGAGCTCACTGTGGATGGGGCTCCCCATGGGAGCTGCAGACACAGCAGGGAGGAAAGCCGCCCCCGCCTCCTGAGCTCACCTCGTGGTGGGAGACAAAATGCAAATAAATGTGCCGCGTCCAGGAGTGCAACGTGCTGTAAGGAACATAAACCAGAGAAAGGGCAGAGAGTGTGGGGCAGTGGGGCCAGTCTGAATGGAAGGGGAGGGCTGTCTGCTCAGCTGTCATCTGAGAAGCCTGGACAGAGTGGGGCACACGATCCTCTGATGGACGAGCCCCTGCAGGCAGAGGAAACAACCCTGCAAAGGCCCCCAGGCAGCAGCGAGCTCTTGCAGGAAGGCCCGTGAGGCTGCAGCCAAATGGGCAACGTCAGAGTGAGGAGCAGAGGCCAGAACCACAGCGAGGGAGCGGCCAGACCCTCCACGGCCTTAGGGCGTCCCTGAGATTCCATCGGGAAAGGGATGTAATCGGATCACCCGGGGAACAGTGAGGAAAATTGACTCCAGGGGGTCAGGAGGATTCAAGGACACCCCCCACCACTGTCTCTCTCCAGCAGAGCCCACACGATGAAGACCCCCAGGCAGTGACGTATGCCGAGGTGAAACACTCCAGACCTAGGAGAGAAATGGCCTCTCCTCCTTCCCCACTGTCTGGGGAATTCCTGGACACAAAGGACAGACAGGCGGAAGAGGACAGGCAGATGGACACTGAGGTGAGTCCTTTCCTCTCCAGGCCCCCAGGCCTCCCCCACCCCCACCACGTTCCTTCCCTCTCACTCTCCCCCGCTGCAGGCTGCTGCATCTGAAGCCCCCCAGGATGTGACCTACGCCCAGCTGCACAGCTTGACCCTCAGACGGGAGGCAACTGAGCCTCCTCCATCCCAGGAAGGGCCCTCTCCAGCTGTGCCCAGCATCTACGCCACTCTGGCCATCCACTAGCCCAGGGGGGGACGCAGACCCCACACTCCATGGAGTCTGGAATGCATGGGAGCTGCCCCCCCAGTGGACACCATTGGACCCCACCCAGCCTGGATCTACCCCAGGAGACTCTGGGAACTTTTAGGGGTCACTCAATTCTGCAGTATAAATAACTAATGTCTCTACAATTTTGAAATAAAGCAACAGACTTCTCAATAATCAATGAAGTAGCTGAGAAAACTAAGTCAGAAAGTGCATTAAACTGAATCACAATGTAAATATTACACATCAAGCGATGAAACTGGAAAACTACAAGCCACGAATGAATGAATTAGGAAAGAAAAAAAGTAGGAAATGAATGATCTTGGCTTTCCTATAAGAAATTTAGGGCAGGGCACGGTGGCTCACGCCTGTAATTCCAGCACTTTGGGAGGCCGAGGCGGGCAGATCACGAGTTCAGGAGATCGAGACCATCTTGGCCAACATGGTGAAACCCTGTCTCTCCTAAAAATACAAAAATTAGCTGGATGTGGTGGCAGTGCCTGTAATCCCAGCTATTTGGGAGGCTGAGGCAGGAGAATCGCTTGAACCAGGGAGTCAGAGGTTTCAGTGAGCCAAGATCGCACCACTGCTCTCCAGCCTGGCGACAGAGGGAGACTCCATCTCAAATTAAAAAAAAAAAAAAAAAAGAAAGAAAAAGAGAAAAAAGAAATTTAGAAGAATAACAAGTTATTCCAAATGAAGGCGTAAGAAAGGGAATAATAACAATAATAAGAGGAGTTGTTCATGAGGAAAAACCAAAGCTTGAAAATTCAACAAAGCCAGTGAAGCTCATTCTTGAAAACATGAATCACACTCATGAATTCTAACTACAATGAAAAAGAGAAAGAAAGAGCAGGCATGCATTTCCATATGGGAGTGAGCCAGCAGACAGCCCTACAGATCGTACACACGTTTTCCAAAACTAACAATGGAACAGGCGGCAAACCTATGCCAATATACTAGAAATTGCAGATTAAATAGATGAAATATTCTAAACTGGAGTTTACATAATGAACATAAGAGTAATCAGAGAATCTGACTCATTTTAGATGTGTGTGTGTGTGTATATATATGTGTGTGTGTGTGAAAAACATTGACTATAATAAAAATAATCTCGAGTTCACGAAGCTTCATTGGTGATTTCTTACAAATATTGACACACTAATGAAACACACAAACACACCCAGAGCATCACAAATGTTTCTTGAGAATAGAAAAAGTGGCAATGTGCCCAGGTGCGGTGGCTCACGCCTGTAATCTCAACACATAGGGTGGCAGAGGCGGCAGATTACTTGAGGCTGGGAGTTCAAGACCAGCCTGGCCAACACGGCAAAACCCCATCTCTACTAAAAATACAAAAATTAGTCGGACATGGTGGCGCACACTGCAGTCCCAGCTACTTGGGAGGCAGAGGCAGGAGAATCACTTGATCCCAGGAGATGGAGGCTGCAGTGAGCTGAGATCCCGCCCCTGCGCTCCAGCCTGGTCAACAGAGCCAGACTCTGTCTCAAAAAATTAAAAAAAAAAAAAAGTCATGACATATAAAATAGAATTTTCCATTCTATAACAGGCATATTTTAAACTCTACAGTTTTTCTGTTTCAAAATAATATTTTTTTAAATTTTATTTTAATGTTTTACTTTATTTTATTTGGCAGTTTAAAATTCTACATATTTAGGATGTGCAACATGGTATTTTAATATGCCTGTGAAATCGCTAGGTCAAGCTAATTAACATCTGTAACATCACGTAGTTATCTTTCTGTTAAGAGAACATTTAAAATCCACTTTCTTACCAATTTTCGCGTATGCAATCCATTGTTAGCAACTGTAGTCACCATACTGTACAACAGATCTCCTAAACTTACTCCTCCTGTCCAACTGAAGTGCGGTATCCTTCGATGCAGCTCTCTGATTCCACCCCAGCCCAGCTCCCGGGGACCACCTTCTACTCTCTACTTCCATGAGTTCAACTGGGGCAATCCGCACATAAGTGAGATCAGGCAGCAGGTGTCTTCCCGTGCCTTCTTTATTCCGCGTAGCGTGACGTCCTCTAGGCTCGTCCATGTTGTCACAAATGAAACAATTTCCTTCTTCTAGAAGGCGGAATAGTTTTTCGCTGTGTTTATACTGAGCGCTTCATTTTCTGTATCCATTCGCCTGCTGATGGACGCTTGGCCGGGTTCCATGTCTTGGTTATGGTGGCTAAAGCTGTCATGAACATGGGAGGGCGGGCATCTCTTCAACGTACTGATTCCATTTCCTTTAGATACACACCCAGCAGTGAAATTGTTGAAACACAGGGTAGCTCTGATCATTAACTTCTGAAAAACATCTATAGTATTTTTGTGGTCATTGTACTCATTTACATTACCACTAGCGGAGGGCAGCGGTTCTATTTTTTCTACATTCTCGCTAACACTTGTTATTCTACTCTTTTTCATAGTAACCATCCTAACAGATGTGAGGTTATAGCTTCTTAAAGTTTATATGTATGTAAGTATATGCCTATATGTATATATGCAAATGTATGTATTCATACATAAACATCCATACGTACATATGTGCAGATACGTATGTACATATATATGCATGTGTATTGTATGTATATATGTATACACAGGTATACACATATATGTGTAGAAAGTGAAATTTTGCAGTGAGATATCACCTCACAGCTGTTAGATTGCCTATTATCAGAATGGTGAAAGATCAGTGTTGGTGAGCATGAGGAGAAAAAATCCTTACACACCATTGGTGGACATGTAAATTAACACAGCCATTTTAGAAAACAGTATGGAAGCTCCTCAAAAAACTAAACATGCCACCACCATATAATCCAGCAAGCCCACTGCTGGGTGTATACCAGAAGAAATGAAATCGGCCACAGAAGAGACGTCCACACTCCTAAGCTCATTGCAGCACTATTCACAATTGCCAAGTTACAAAAACAATTCTATATTTTTGAAAAAGGATTCATTTCTCCTGTCCCTGTAGAGAAAACGGGCTCAAATTACACATTAGCTGAGCTCTGAGTACTCACTCATGTGTGTATCTATGAGGGTGCATGTTCGTGTGTGTTTCAGTATGTGGTTTTTCCATTCTGTGTACTCACCCATGTCTGTAACTATGAGGGTGCATGTTCACGTGTGTGTGTGTGTGTTTCAGTGTGTGGTTTTTCCCATTTTTCCTCCCTTGAGGATATCGCATTGTATGTTTTGGATTCTTTGATCTTCCAATTAAATTACATCATTTAGAATTGCTTTCACTAAGTGTGAAACAATAAAAATTTTTTTTAATTGTGGCTCTGGAAATACCTTCCTTTCCCTTTCACTCTGTATCAAGATTTGTAAATTTTTTAAAATTTTTGTTGTTATTTTAAGTTCTGGGGCACATGTGCAGGATCTGCAGGTTTGTTACACAGGTAAACATGTGCCATGGTGGTTTGCTGCACCTGTCAACCCATCACCTAGGTATTAAGCCCAGCATGCATTGGCTGTTGTTCCTAATCCTCTCCCTGTCCCAACTCACCCTCCTCCAACAGGTCCCAGTGTGTGCTGTCCCCCTCCCTGTGTTCATGTGATCTCACTGTTCAGCTCCCACTTATAAGTGAGAACATGCAGTGTTTGGTTTTCTGTTCCTGCATTGGTTTGCTGAGGATAATGGCTTCCAGCTCCATCCATGTCCCTGCCAAGGACATGATATTGTTCCTTTTTATGGATGCATAGTATTCCATGGTGTATATGTATCACATTTTCTTTATCCAGTCTATCATTGATGGGCATTTGGGTTGATTCCAGGTCTTTGCTACTATGAATAGTGTTGCAAAAAACATATGCATGCATGTATCTTTGTAATAGAATGATTTATATTCCTTTGGGTATATACCCAGGGATTGCTGAGTCAAATGGTATTTCTGGTTCTAGATCTTTGAGGAATCACCACACCATCTTCCACAATGGTTGAACTAATTACATTCCCACTAACAGTGTAAAAGCATTTCTATTTCTCTGCAACCTCACCGGCATCTGTTTCTCCTTGACTTTTTGATAATCGCAATTCCAACTGGTGTGAGATGGTATCCCATTGAGGTTTTGACTTGCATTTCTCTAATGACCAGTGATGTTGAGCTTTGTTCCATGTTTCCTGGCCACATGAATGTCTTCTTTTGACAAGTGTCTGCTCATGCCTTTTGCCCACTTATTAATGTTTTATTCCTGTAAATTTGTTTAAGTTCCTTGTGGATTCTGGATGTTAGACCTTTGTCAGATGGACAGATTGCAAAAATTGTCTCCCATTCTGTAGCTTGTCTGTTCGCTCTGATAATGGTTTCTCTTGCTGTGCAGACGCTCTTTAGTTTAATTTGATCCCATTTGTCAATTTTAGCTTTTGTTGCAATTGCTTTTGGTGATTTCGTCATGAAGTCTTTGCCCATCTTTGTCCTGAATTATATTAAATAAAGTCTTTGTCCTGAATTATATTAAATAAAGCATAAGGGAAAAGATGTAGAAGGGAAAGTACATGTAATGGTTAAGGCGTCTACTGCCAATCCCTCCCCGTTCCTCAAGATGAAGCCTGACATGCTGGGTTTAATGTGTGAGACAAGCTGCCGACAGGTCGTTTGCCTTTGTCTTTAATAATTTAGATTAACACAGAAATCTTCACCATGAATTTCTGAAGGCCTTTCTTTAGTATCTCCTGGTGTTGAATTTGCTGTTGGAAGGTCCAATCCCAGTGAGCATGCAAATCCATTGGAAATAATTTGCATTTTTACAAATAAATAATTTTAGGATTTTTTTTTTGTTTCCAGGACAGACTTCCTTGTATTTTTTTAATGAGTTAAAAATTATATAATATAAAAATAACATTTAAAAACCCACAATTCAGGCCGGGCACGGTGGCTCATGCCTGTAATCCCAGCACTTTGGGAAGCCGAGACGGGCGGATCACTTGAGGTCAGGAGTTTGAGACCAGCCTGGTCAACATGGCAAAACCCCGTCTTTACTAAAAATACAAAAATTAGCCAGGCATGGTGTCAAGCACCTGTAATCCCAGCTACTCGGGAGGCTGAGACAGGAGAATTGCTTGAACCTGGGAGGCAGAGGTTGCAGTGAGCAGAGATTGTGCCACTACACTCCAGCCTGAGTGACAGAGCAAGACTCTGTCTCACACAAAAACAAAAACAAAAGCAAAAACAACCCCTCACAATTCAGCCTAGGATATGTTTATTAAATTTACATTTGTCTTTTTGCTTAAGATTGCTTTGGTATTCGTCCTCTTTTTGGTTCCATATGAATTTTAGGATTGTTTTTTCTAATTCTGTGAAAAAAATGATGTTGATATTTTGATGGGAATTGCATTGAATCTAAATATTGCTTTGGGAAGTGTGATCATTTTCACAATATTGATTCTTCCAATCCATGAGCATGGGATATATTTCTATTTTGCTGTGTCATCTACAATTTCTTTCAGCAGCATTTTGTTGTTCTTCTTGTAGAGATCTTTCACCTCCTCGGCTAGGTATATACTTAGATATTTTTAATTTTTGCAACTGATGTACAAGGGATTGAGTTTTGCAGCAACCTGGATGAGCTGGAGGCCATTATTCATGACACCACATCCAGCTAATTTTTGTATTTTTTGTAGAGATGCGGTTTTGCCATGTTGCCCAGGCTGGTCTTGAACTCCTGGGCCCAAGTGACCCGCCCGCCTTGACCTCCCAAAGTGCTGGGACTGCAGGCATGAGCCACGGTGCCCGGCCTATCATAGCACTTTTGATCATTGGGATAATTCCTCCTCCTTGTCATTTTTGGACACATGCTTCCCACATGCCTCATCTTCCAGAGAGGGTTTCCACCAGGGCTGTGCTGGGAGTTAAGGCTGGAAAAGGGGAGATGGTTCCAGCTGCCAGTGCCACATGAGTCTACTCAGGGCTGTAACCAGCAGGGAAGGTCCAGTGTGAGCCTCAGACTCGCATGTGGGACAGACGCCCATGTGTGACAACGCTGCAGTGAATCTGTTTCACACACATGGAGGAGGCGGCTCAGGGCTGACCATGGACCTGAGTCAATGAGCAGAGATATCCCAGTGCCATCCACAAACACAGGGGAGAAGGAGCCACAACTTCTCACTTTCATCCAAAACCCCGACCCCTCCCTGTCTGTGAGGGCCTGGGGTTCTCCTCTGTCTCATACAGAGGCAGAAACCTCCCCCTTAGTGACCCCCAGACTTTGCAAGTCACCAGCAGCCGCTCGGCTCTGGCCTCTTCTGCTTCTTAAGGTTTCCTGCCTATGACAGGAAGTCTCATTTCTCATTTTCTTCATCGGACCATGGCTACATATTTCAGACACATTATAAGTAGGTTTTCCCAATGTTAGGAGCAGATGTGGGCTGTTGAGCATTTAAGTTGCTCACCGTGACTGTGCAGTCCAACACCAGGATCCACTCATGTTTCAGCCCCTCAAGACTTAACCCGGTCTGGAAATGTACCATGACTGAGGCCCTCCCATGACCCAGGCACCACTGGCCCCCAAAACCACTCAGGAGGGGGGTTCATGACAACAGGCTCCAAATGAGGAAACCGAGGCTCAGAGATGGGACTTACTGCCCAAGGTCATGCACGCAGGGATGAAGGTGAGCAATTCAGAAAAAATTAACTCCCTATCCCACCGCCAAATCAGAGCTCAAGACAAGTACTTGTTCCCAAAACCTTGAAGGCAGACTGAGATGCAGGGGAATGCCCAAGGAAGCGGGGCTGGGGGTGGGAGGGACCCCGAGGAGGCAGGAATGACTCAGAGGTTACTTTTAAGGGAAGGGGAGCTGAACGCTATTAAAAAATAGGAAGAAAAAAAGAAGGGAAGTCTAAGAAGGAAACTGGAAGAAATAAAACCCATACTCCAAAGACAAAAGAAGAGTCAGCATTTCTTTATTTCTCCTTTTTTTCTCATTGCCAATTGCAGCTCAACTTGAATTTCACAGCCCGATGTGAGATGCGTCTCTGCTGATCTGAGCCTGTCCTGCAGCATGGACCTGCAACTTTCCTGAAGCATCTCCAGGGCTGGATGCCATGGTAAGGATCCCGCAATGCTGTGTTGATGGACGGGCTGAAGGAGGGAAGGAGACCCCACGGGGAGGCTCTGAGAAGAAGAAAAAGCCCCCAGTCACTCTCACTTGGACAGGACAGACTCAGAAAGGTGCTGTGTCCTGTGTCCTGACCCTTGATGAGATGAGGACAGATGAGGCAAATCGCAGAAAAGGGTCAGGGAGATACCATTTCTGTATGAAATATCTGAAGACAGCCTGGTGCCTGCCCCAGTCCCAGCCTTGGGGAAATGAAAGCCAGGCTCCTGGAGAGGGCAGTTCCCCTTCTTGTGGGGCTGATGACGGGACAACCTCGTGATGGAGAACCCAGGCTCCCAGTAGATTTACTCCATCCAGGAACTGTGGTCTCGTCCATCTGCACAGCCAGGGGCTGTGGAGGAGATGCCATGACTTCCACCCGCAAACCTCTGATCTGTCTTGATGAAATTGAAAGAGGGAGAGGGGAGACTGTAGCCTGGAAGGAATCCCACCTCACAACTTGGTCCTGATTGAATAGAAGACCCCAGAGGTTCACAGAGATCCCAAGGTGGGGAGGATCTGCCCAGGGTTCAGGAGGCGAATCTCCCTCAGGAAGCTCCGTGACCCCCTCCTTAGTGTCGCTCCTGTGCCTCAGTGGGATTTGGAGAGGATGCCTTAGATTAGAGGGTATTGTTCAGTGGGATTTGGAGAGGATGCCTTAGATTAGAGAGTATTGTTCAGTGGGATTTGGAAAAGATGCCTTAGATTAGAGGGTATTGTTCAGTGGGATTTGGAGAGGATGCCTTAGATTAGAGGGTATTGTTCAGTGGGATTTGGAGAGGATGCCTTAGATTAGAGGATATTGTTCAGTGGGATTTGGAGAGGATGCCTTAGATTAGAAGGTATTGTTCAGTGGGATTTGGAGAGGATGCCTTAGATTAGAGGGTATTGTTCAGTGGGATTTGGAGAGGATGCCTTAGATTAGAGGATATTGTTCAGTGGGATTTGGAGAGGATGCCTTAGATTAGAGGGTATTGTTCAGTGGGATTTGGAGAGGATGCCTTAGATTAGAGGATATTGTTCAGTGGGATTTGGAGAGGATGCCTTAGATTAGAGGGTATTGTTCAGTGGGATTTGGAGAGGATGCCTTAGATTAGAGGGTATTGTTCAGTGGGATTTGGAGAGGATGCCTTAGATTAGAGGATATTGTTCAGTGGGATTTGGAGAGGATGCCTTAGATTAGAGGATATTGTTCAGTGGGATTTGGAGAGGATGCCTTAGATTAGAGGGTATTGTTCAGTGGGATTTGGAGAGGATGCCTTAGATTAGAGGATATTGTTCAGTGGGATTTGGAGAGGATGCCTTAGATTAGAGGATATTGTTCAGTGGGATTTGGAGAGGACGCCTTAGATTAGAGGTATTGTTCAGTGGGATTAGGAGAGGACACCTTAGATTAGAGGGTATTGTTCAGTGGGATTTGGAGAGGATGCCTTAGATTAGAGGGTATTGTGTCTTTCAGCAACAAAACCGTACAAAAAACACCTGGGCATTTCACATCAGTGGATAAAGCATATCTTGTGCCAAATCAGGACCAAACTGCGGTGAAATTTAGGGTTCACACTACAGTTAATCACTTTTGAGGAAAGCATTCCAGGTTGGTGCCTATCTCTGTGATAAACATCTCCCTTCCTGGCTACAGGTAATGGATTAAAGTAACACTGGCCGAACAGACACTATCTTCACTTGATGATTATACTGAAAAATAGCCATAAAATTGTTCCCTCCAAATCCAATTCCCCTTTTGACTTTAGACAATTCTCTAAAGAAGATATACAAATGGCCAACAAACATATAAAAAACATGTATATATGCGTATATATACATATATATACACACACACACACACACACACACACACACACACACCATGGAATACTTCAGTCATAAAAAGGAACAAAATAATGGCATTCGCAGCAACCTGGAGGCAGTTGGAGACCACTATTCTAAGTGAAATAACTCAGGAATGGAAAACCATCATCATATGTTCTCATAAGTGGGAGCTAAGCTATGAGGATGTAAAGGCATAAGAAGGATATAATGGACTCTGGGGACCCAGGGGGAGCAATGGGAGGGGGTGAGGGATAAAAGACTACGCATTGGGTACAGTGTACACTGCTCGGGTGATGGGTGTTCCAAAATCTCAAAAATCACCACTAAAGAACTTATGCATGCAACCAAACACCACCTGTTCCCCCAAAACTACTGAAACTTAAAAATAAATAAATAGATAAAAATAAATTCACCACATTCAAAATGACAACCGCTGAAGCCCCAGTGGGCGCATGTTACAGGGTGCTCTTTTAGTTTCGGCCTTCCATAGGCAACTTGTGTGTATCAGCTCCATTAGACCCCTGCCTTCCTGCAAGGACAGACGGCTCTCTGTATCCCAGGGTTCTCGCCTTGGTGTACCGGAAGAACCGGATCACATGAGGGCTTGGAGAATGAGTGCAAGGTTTGATTGAGTGGAAACAGCTCTCAGCAGAAGGGCGATGGTTTTCTCCTGGAGTCGGGCCCCTGGCGGCCCGGGATCCTCTCTGACTGTCCCAGCCAAGCTCCATGTCGTTCTGCCAGTCGGTGGCCTGTGGTGTGCTGGTGCCCGTCCTTGCGTTCCTCTCGACATCCAGCCATCTGTGTGTTCCTGCACTGACGTGCTCCTCTCAGCCGCCAGTGTCTTCTTCTTCCGCTGATCTGCGGACGTCCAGCTGCTTGTGTGTCTGCCTGCTCAGGTCTCGGAGTTGTTTTTTTTGTTTGTTTGTTTGTTTTTTAATTATACTTTAAGTTTTAGGGTACATGTGCACAATGTGCAGGTTAGTTACATATGTATACATGTGCCATGTTGGTGTGCTGCACCCATTATCTCGTCATTTAACGTTAGGTATATCTCCTAAAGCTATCCCTCCCCACCCGCCACCCCACAACAGGCCCCGGTGTGTGATGTTCCCCTTCCTGTGTCCATGTGTTCTCATTGTTCAATTCCCACCTATGAGTGAGAACATGCGGTGTTTGGTTTTTCGTCCTTGCAATAGTTTGCTGAGAATGATGGTTTCCAATTTCATCCATGTCCCTACAAAGGACATGAACTCATCATTTTTTATGGCTGCATAGTATTCCATGGTGTATATGTGCCACATTTTCTTAATCCAGTCTATCATCGTTGGACATTTGGCTTGGTTCCAAGTGTTTGCTATTGTGAATAGTGCCACAATATAGTTCAACCATTGTGGAAGTCAATGTGGTGATTCCTCAGGGATCTAGAACTAGAAATACCATATATTAATCACCTCAGTTAGTTATTATTTCTGTGTGCATGTGTGTGTGCAGTGAAAATACTTAGGATCTACTCTCAGCTAATTTTAAGTGTACAATACAGTATTGTTACCTATAGCTTTCATTCCATACATTAGCTTTCCAGAATTATTCATTTCGGAGAATTGAAACTTTGTATCCTTTGACCAACATCTTATTTTTCCCATTTCCAGCCCCTGCTAACCACCATTCTACTCTCAGCTTCTATGAATTTCACTATTTAGATTCCACAATTATGTGAGATTATAAGATATTTATCTATTAAGAGTTGGATTCATTTCACTTAGCATAATGTCATTTGGGTCCAATCCTGCTATCACAAATGATCTGATTTTCTTCTTTTTCAAGACTGAATAAAACTTTATATTTATTATACTATGTTATCTTAATCCATTCCTCCATCAATGGGCATTTATGTCATTTATTTACCTCGGCTATTGTGAATACTGGTGCAGTGAATTCATCAGTGTGGATATATCTCTTCAAGATCTTGATTTGAGTTCTTTTGGATAATTATCCGGAAGTTGAAATCTGGTGTCTTATAGTTCAATTTTTAACATTTTGAGGAAATGTGATACCGTTTCTATAATGGATGGATCGGTTTCTGTTAACTTAAATCAGGGTATTGTCTTTCTCACTCAGACCGCTGCTGGAATCCTTGGAAATTCTTCACTCCTTTACTTTTTTAGCTTTACTTTTATCACTTCACAGATATTGAGACCCAGAGACCTGATTCTCAGCCAGCTGGTCTTAGCCAACAACCTGGTTCTTTTCTCTAAACGAATCCCCCAGACAATGGCAGCTTTTGGAATGAAATCCTTCCTGGACGAGGCTGGATGAAACTTGTCTTCTATCTATACACAGAGTGGCCAGAGGGGTTTCCCTCAGCACCGCCTGTCTCCCCAGTGGCTTCCAGGCCATGAAGCTTCAACCTCAGTATCTCTAGGAGGATGGAACTCCGAATTAGGTCCACAAAGTGCATTGTTTTCTGCTGCCCCCTCTGCTGGATCTTGCAAATTGTGGCATATACCCATATTGCAATGCATGTAACTGGCCCAATGAAGAGCAAAAACGTGAGTATGGAATAAATGTATAGGTACTCTCCTCACCCATTCTAGGATGATTGCTATTCTTAGCAAATGCAGTCATTTTCTCCCTTGTGGATGGTATGTCTTTGGCCCTCATGGACTACACCAGCAGCTCCATGATCCTCTTCTTATATAGACACAAGCAGACAGTCCAATGCATTCGCAGCCACGGCCTCTCCCCCTGAAAATCTCATGAAACTAGAGCCACACACACCATCCTCGTCCTGGTGAGCATGTTTGTCTCCTCTCATGGTCTAGCTGGTATTTTATCACTGTGGGTAACCTGGATTCAGAACCCAAGCCATTGGCTGAGAAGCATCTCTTTCCTGGTGTCTGCAGGATTCCCGACATTCAGCCCCTTTGGGTTCATTGTCAGTGATGCCCGCGTCTCACAGTTCTGCACTGTCTGCTGGACAAGGAAGACAAATGCTCCAAGTGTGGTCTCTGGGCTCTAAGTTCCCTCTAGACAATTGCGTCCTTTATTTAATCACTTCTCCCCACAATATCTGTTGGATCATACATTATGCCAGTTAATACGCAAGGACTTTGGGACTCAGTATTGAATAAAAATGATAATAACCATAGCCTCATATTGCTTCTTAGGCTCTCAAAAAATGAACGCAGTGTAAAAATTACCCAGATGTATGTCAGTTCCTCAGAAGATTAAACACAGAATTACCATATGACCCGGCAATTTCTGGGAAAATTAAAGCAAGGATTTAAAAGGATGCTCATATACTCATGTTCATAACAGCGTTATTCACATTAACAAAAAAGTAGAAAAAACCCAAAGATGGATAAATGGATAAACAAATGTTATAGAAACTAGGAAATACTGTTCAGTCTCTCAAAGAAATGAAATTGTGACTGACATACACTATAATATGGAGAGCCTTGAAGATATTATGCTAAGTGAAATAAGCCAGTCTCATAAAGGACAAATATTGCAAATATTGCTAAGATTCTATCTATATGAGCTACCTGTCAAACTCACAGACTCAGGAAGTAGAATCACGGTTAACAGAGGCTTGGGGGCCTGGAAACTGAGAGTTGGTGTTTACTGAATATAAAGCTTCAATTGGAAAGATAAAATACTTTGGGGATGGTGATGGCGATGGTTGCATAGCAATGTCAAACCACTTCACAATACTGCACTGTAGAGTTAGAAAGAGTAAATATGGTAAATTTTATTTCATTTGTTTTTTTTTTTACTATAATTTAAAATGAGAAAGAGTAGTAAAAACACACAAAAGAGAGGAGCTAACAGATAAAAAGTGCACTAAGTTAGCCAAGCCAGAGCTTTAAGAACCATTATCACTTCTCTCTCTCTTTCACCCCACAATCAACATTAATCAGGTCCAACCATGTGTTCTGCCTTCTTAGCACTGCTCACGTGTGTCCCCTCCTCTCTTATTTCCATGCACTCTGGCCCAGCTGGGCTTCTTCTCTCTTTGCCTGTGATTTGCTCTGTTGTCCTCCCTGGCTCAGACGTGCAGTCCCAGTCTCTCCTGATGCTTTGTCCCCACATTGAGGGCACTGCTGTTTCCCCACAGGCCACTCCTTTTTTTTTTTTTTTCTTGAGACAGAGTCTTACTCTGTCACCTAGGCTGGAGTGCAATGGCACGATCTCGGCTCACTGCAACCTCCACCTCCCAGGTTCAAGTGATTCTCCTGCCTCAGCCTCCTGAGTAGCTGGGATTACAGGTATACACCACCACACCCAGATAATTTTTTGTATTTTTTTTAGAGACAGGGTTTCACTGTGTTGGCCAGGCTGGTCTCGAACTCCTAACCTCGTAATCCTCCCACCTCAGCCTCCCAAAGTGCTGAACTCCTAATACACCCTCTGTCCTTTCCCACCTTGTCTGTGCCCTGGAGGCTGACTCTATGGATTGCATCATCAGTGTCTCCTTGCCTTTAGCGTCTGATTGAGTTCAACCATGGAGGCACTGTCAGGAGAGCAGAGGGTGAGAGGAGAGAGAGGCCGGGGAATCAATTCCCACACATATGCCCTGCCAGGCTGTGGTTTGTCAGCAACTGTGCTCCTCTACCCATGACATCAGCTCCCGCAAGGCACCTCCCATCTCCCACACAGGGCTCTCTCCACCCCTTGACCTCCCATCCTGGGAGTGGCAGTGGCTTCCTGGGGTGCTTCATCCCTCTCATTTGCCCACACCTTTATACACTTCTTTTTCTTTTTTCTTTTCTTTTTTTTTTTTTTTTTTTTGACGGAGTCTCACTCTGTCACCAGGCTGGAGGGCAGTGGCACCATCTCAGCTCACTGCAAGCTCTGCCTCCCGGGTTCACGCCATTCTCCTGCCTCAGCCTCCAAAGTAGCTGGGATTACAGGCGCCCGGCTAATTTTTTGTATTTTTAGTAGAGACAGGGTTTCACCATGTTAGCCAGGATGGTTTTGATCTCCTGACCTTGTGATCCACCCGCCTGGGCCTCCCAAAGTGCTGGGATTACAGGCGTGAGCCACCGCGCCCGGCCTATACACTGCTTTTTCTATTTCCATTTTTATTTTAGAATTGGGGGTACATGTGTAGGTTTGTTACCAAGGAATATTGTGTGGCATTGAGGTTTGGAGTAAGACTGAGCCCCTCACCCAGGTAGGGAGCATGGTACCCAACAGGTAGTTTTTCAGCCCCATCCCCCTCCTCTCCACCCTCAGTGGTCCCCAGCGTCTACTGTTGCCATCTTTATGGGAAGATGTGTACCTAATATTTAGCTCCCACTTATAAGTGAGAATATGTGGTATTTGGTGTTCAGTTTCTACATTAGTTTACGTAAGATAATGGCCTCCAGCTGCATCCATGTTGCTGCAAAGGACATGAGTTCATTCTTTTTTATGGCTGTGTAGTCTTCCATGGTGTATATGGACCACATTTTCTTTATTTGGTTCACTGTTGATGGGCAACGAGGTTGATTCCATGTCTTTTCTATTGTCAATAGTGCTGCAATGATCATCCAAGTGTGTGTGTTCTTGACTAGAATGATTTATTTTCCCTGGATATATACCCAGTAATAGGACTCCTGGGTCAAATGGTAGTTCCATTCCTAGTTATTTGAGATATCCTCAAACTGCTCTCCACGGCGACTGTTAGTCCTAGCTCTTTGAGAAGCCAAGGTGGGAGGATTGCTTGAGGCCAGGAGTTTGGGGCCATTCGATTCTCTAACTACTACCCCTGCTGTATAGAAATGTCATTGATATGGATTTGTTTTTATTTTCTTATAAATCCTAATGGACTTTGAATTTTCTATTTAGAGAATCTTACTACCTACAAGTAATGAAAAAATCTCTCTAGCCCTCATATATCTTATTTTTAGTTTTTTACTTTTACTGATATTATTACATCAGTTAGGACACCTCAGTAGAAAATGGAATAAAAGTGGAAAGACCATTAAGCCTCGTTTTGTTCATATTTTAGTGGAAATTGATCTAAGCTTCATCATTAAATATAATATTTGCTATTGATTTGTTGCTGGGCATCCTTTAACATGTTTATGATGTTTCATTCTATTCCTAATTCATTAAGATTTTTTAAACCATAAATAAGTGCAGATTATAGTAATATTGAGCAAATATTTTCTTCTCACCTCCAATGGGCCACCCTCTAGACCCCCTACCCTCACCCTCATCTCCCCTACCTCACCGCGGGTCTCTGTCCTCAGACCCCTGCTGCAGGGGACCCCTGGAGGTGACATATGCTCAGCTGGACCACCAGGCCTTCACTTGGAGGACAGCCCAGGCTGTGTCCCCAGAGTCCATGGTGCCCATGGCTGAGTCTAGCATGTACACAGCCCTCGCCAGGCACTGACTCCGGGACCACTGCCCCCTGCGCCTGAGGAAGTCATGCTTGGAAAAGCCTCAAGAAGCCATCTGGAGGGCTTCCCCTTGGAATCATCCTGGTCTGCAAAACCAGTCAACTGTTCTGGAGATAAGAGGTAGAGCCCAAAGTTCTCTAGTCAGCATCTAGAAAGTTCATTAACCAGGTGATTCCTTCCACAACTGACCAGCACCTCAAAGAGGTGGCATTGCAGCTACTTCTAGAAACCCAGCTGCAATCACCTGGCTGTTTCCAGACACCTAGTTCCAGTCACCTGGTTGTTTCCAGTGATCCAGCTGCTGTCACTTCTCTGTTTCAAGACACCCAGCTCCAGTCTCCTGGCTGTTTGCTGAGTCTCAGCTATAGCCATCCCAGCTGATTCCATTAACAATGTTGCATCCCCCTGCAGTTTCCAAATGTCTTCTGTAAATCCCCCCAGCTGCCCCAGCAATCGTCTACTCAGCTGATCCTGAACATTCTCCTAGAGTTTAGTTGTTGACCTTGAGAATGAGCTATACATATGGATCTGAGAGCTGAGACCAGTCCTCTGGGTCATGCTTTACTTCATGCACCAATGAATAGTTTAAAGACCTCACATCTGGCAGTCCTGTGTCATGTTCTGGGGTGTATAGATCACTTGGACCCAATCTCTGCCTTCATGTTGTTCAAGGTTACATGGGGTTAACAAGAGCTACAAAGGAGGTGTCAGTATTTTTTTAAGGATTTCATTGGCAGTGATTGCATATATTCAAGATGCACAAGGTGATAATTTGATATACATATACATTGTGAAATAATAGCCACGGTCAAATGAATCAGCGCATCCATCACCAGCTACGCTGTACATAAGATCCCCTGAACTTGCTCATCTTAGGCCTCCAAGATGGAGCATATGATCAGGGATCAATTAAGGTGTCTGAGCGGATGCATGGATGGGTGAAGACAGAGAGCTAATCCCACTTATGCACTTACACACATATGCACATGTACTCACACATTCACACATGCACACACATGCACAAACCTGAACGCACTCACACATGTCAGGAGACCTCTGAATCCTCTGTGCGCTGGGACTTGGTTGTCTCCACCCCTCTTAGAAAGTTAGATGCTCTCCCTATTCAGATTAAAACGGAAAATTACTTGAGAACCACTAGGGGGAGACAGTACCTCATTTGAATTAATTTTTGTGCACATTTAAAATAAACAATAACACACTTACCATGGGCATGCCTTTGGCCGGATTGCAAAGGTAAACATATATCAAAGCATCTCATGGTACCCAATAAATATATACAATTATTATTTTTCAATTAAAATATCGTAATAAAATAACAGAAAAGAAACCTGCATACTTGTAACAGAGTGGATTTTTAAATGTCGTTTTATACAAGAAAAAGAATATTTTTTAAAAAACTCAACAATAACTCAATCAGCTTATCCTATGGAGCAATTACTAGTTGAATACTATGCAAACATCAACACATTCACTAGTCTTACATATGCCCCACAGCTTGTCCTATTTTTTCCCCACTTGTGGGGATTTTGATAGTTGTTGAGTATGTCTAATCCAATTATACATTCCAGAGCAAGGAATAAAGCCACAGGATGCATTTGGTGGCCAAGAAAATTCAACAGGAGACAAATCTGAGCTAAAGGTTCATTGACTACCTGACCTCCATAAGCTTCTAATCTGACTGGAGGGTCACCATGATGTTTTGGGTCTTCTGAAGTTAGTGTTAGCTCAGAGCCAGTGTCTAGTTGCACCCAAAATATCTGATCATTTCCTTTACCCAGTACACAGCTACCATGATAAAGGCCATAGGTCCATTTAAGGGAAGCTGAGATAAATATAATTGTTTAACTTTTTATAGTATATACCGGGGCAGCGCCTTCAAGGATACCTGGTCTTCCCTTTAATTCAAGGGGTTCTGGGTCTATAAACTGGTGAAATTCTAGTAATTGATTAAGAGACTGTAACTGTCTATTTTATGATTTTAATTAGATTCTTGTTCTCTTTGCCAAGAAATGTTCTGCTTATACAAATCAAGTAAGAATGAAGTAAGTTTCCTATCTATTTCACGTCTTAGAACGCTGCGGTCAACTAGACAACACTAAAGGGCTGCATGAGACAGTCTATTCTGATTACTGCCTTGATTCTGCTTTCCATTATGATCACCACACCCAGTTCTATGATAACCACACCCAATTCAACACACCAGATTCTCACCTTTGTCGACTGACTTCTGACACTTGAGTCCTGCCACTCTAGGATCCAACTACTCCCCTTACATTTAGGTTTCTCGGTTCAGTGGCAGCAGTTCCCACTGGAAGTTCTGGCCTCTCCTAATACACCCTCTGTCCTTTCCCACCTTGTCTCTGCCCTGGAGGCTGACTCTATGGATTGCATCACCAACATCTTCTTGTGTCTAGTGTCTGGTTGAGTTCAGCCATGGGAGGCACTGTCAGGAGAGCAGAGGGTGAGAGGAGAGAGAGGCCGGGGAATCTATTCCCACACGTACGCCCTGCCAGGCAATAAACTGTGCTCCTCTACCCATGACATAAGCTCCCACGAGGCACCTCCCATCTCCCAGCTCAGTCCTCAAGGTGACTTTCCAGAGACCTAGTTACATTCGGCTGTTACTAAAGAGTCAGCTACAGTCATCTAGCTGTTTCCAGTGACCACCCCCAATCCCCCATAGCTGCCTGCCTGTTTGCAGAGACCCAGCTACATGCACCTAGCTGTTTCTAGAGACCCGGCTACATCCACCTGGCTGTTTCCAGAGACCCGGCTACATCCACCTGGCTGTTTCCAGAGACCCGGCTACATCCACCTGACTGTTTCCAGAGACCCGGCTACATCCGCTGGCTGTTTCTAGAGACCCGGCTACATCCACCCAGCTGATTTCATTATCACTGACGCAGTCCCCAGCTGCTCCTATGTCTCCTGGAAATCCCCAATTGCCCCAGAGACTTTGTTGTAATTTTCTGTTCAGCTGACTCTAGGGATCTTCCTGGAGCTTAATTGCTGACCTTAAGAATGGGCCATATTTATGCAACTGAGAGCAGAGCCCAGTTCTCTGGGCCATGCTTTCCTTTGTACATCAACAAATAATCCTAAAGACCTAAAGTCTGGCAATCCCACGCCAGGTCCTAGGGTGCACAGGTCACCTGCATCCAGTCTTTGCCTTCACAGTTATTCAAAGCTGAGCAGGGAAAAAGGAGAGCCACAGAGAAGTTCAGTGTTTTCCTTTTTATCTTTTTAAAAAATCCTTTTTTATCCTTAAAATGATTTAATCAACCAAGATTGTATATATTGAGGTGTACAACATGATGATTTGATATACGTATACATTGTGTAATGATTGCCACAATCAAATTAGCACACTCAGGACAACCAGTGCCCTAAATAGATCCCCTGGATTTGTACACGTTATGCCTTAAAGTTGGTGCCAGAGTTCCATTTATTTATTTTTATCCATATATAATAGTTGTATATAGGTTTGGGGTACTTATGATATTTTGATACTTGTATGCAATGGGTAATAATAAAATCAGGGTAATTAGAATATCCATCACCTCAAATATTTATCTTTTCTTTTTGTTGGGGAGCATTACAATTCTTTTATTCTAGTTGTTTTGAAATACACAATATATTATTGTTAACTATACTTCCCCTACTGTACTGTCAAATACTCAGTTATTTCTCCTATCCAGCTGTATTTCTATACTCCGTAACTAACATCTCCTTATCTCCCACCCTTTCCAGCTCTAGTAACCACCAGTCTACACATTTTTTTTTTTTGAGACAGAGTCTTGCTGTGTCACCCAGGATGGAATGCAGTGGCGTGATCTTGGCTCACTGCAACCTTTGCCTCCTGGGTTCAAGAGATTCGCCTGCCTCAGCCTCCTGAGTAGCTGGGATTACAGATGCATGCCACCACGCCAGGCTAAAGACAGGGTTTCACCATGTTGGCCAGGATGGTCTCGAACTCTTGACCTCAAGTGATCCACCCGCCTCAGCCTCCCAAAGTGCTGGGATTACAGGCATGAGCCACCACGCCCGGCCTTTTTTTTTTCTTTTGAGACAAGGTATTGCTCTGTTGCCCAAGCTGGAATGCAGTGACACAATCATGGCTCACTGCAGCCTCAACCCTCCAGGGCTCAAGCGATCCTCCTGCCTCAGACTCCCGAGTAGCTAGGACCACAGTGCACACCACCACGCCCAACTAATTTTTGTATGTTTCGTAGAGAAGGGGTTTTGCCACATTGGCCAGGCTGGTCTGGAACTCCTGACCTCAAGTGAACCACCTGCCTTGGCCTCCCAAATCACTGGGATTACAGGCACAAGCCACCACACCTGGCCAACCAGTCTACTCTCTCTGTTTAGGAATCCACTTCTTTAGCTCCCACGTATGAGTGAGAACATTCGAGATTTGTCTTTCTGTTCCTGGCTTATTTCACTGACCATAATGACCTCCAGTTCCAACTATGTTGCTGTAAATGTCAGGATTTCATTCTTTTTTATGGATGACCCCTCTTCCATTGTGTATACATACCACATTTTCTTTACCCTTTTATCCACTGATGGACACTTAGGTTGATTCCGTATGCTGACTTGTGAAGAGTGCTGCAATAAACACACGGGTGCAGGGACTCTTGTGATGTCCTGAGATTTTTTTCCTTTGCATGAATATTCAGTAGTGAACTCACTGGATTTTACGATAATTGCAGTTTCAGTATCTTGAGGAATCTCCGTGTTTTTTTTTTTTTTTCTTTTTTTGAGACAGAGTCTCACTGTCGCCCAGGCTGGAGTGCAGTGGCGTGATCTCGGCTCACTGTAGGCTCTGCCCCTCGGGGTTCACACCATTCTCCTGCCTCAGCCTCCCGAGTAGCTGGGACTACAGGTGCCTGCCACCTCGCCTGGCTAATTTTTTGTATTTTTAGTAGAGACAGGGTTTCACCCTGTTGGCCAGGATGGTCTTGATCTCCTGACCTCGTGATCCGCCCGCCTCGGCCTCCCAAAGTGCTGGGATTACAGGTGTGAGCCACCGCGCCCGGCCGGAATCTCCATGTTTTCCATAATGGCTGTACTAATTTATATTCCCACCAACAGTGTCTAAGAGTTATTTTGTCAGCACATCCTCACCAGCATGTTTTTATTTTATTTTATTGATCTATTTATTTATTTGTTTGTTTGTTTAGATGGAGTCTCACTCTGTCGCCCAGGCTGGAGTGCAGTGGTGCCATCTCAGCTCACTGCAACCTCCAGCTCCTGGGTGCAAGCGATTCTCTTCCCTCAGCCTCCCGAGTAGCAGGAGCCTCCTGATTACAGGCGGGCGCCACCACGCCCGGCTAATTTTTGTCTTTTTAGTAGAGACGGGGTTTCAACATGTTGGCCAGGCTGGTCTCAAACTCCTGACCTCGTGATCCGCCTGCCTCGGCCTCCCAAAGTGCTGAGATTACAGGCGTGAACCACTGTGCCCAGCCCAGCATGTTTTTATATGTTTCTTTGATAATAGACATTTTAACTGAAATAAGATGATACTCATTGTAGTTTCGATTTGATGCCAGTGATGATTGTGGGTTTTTGTTTGTTTGTTTGTGTTTTGAGATGAAGTCTCGCTCTGTCACCCAGATTGGAGTGCAGTAGTGTGATCTTGGCTCACTGCAACCTCTGCCTACTGGGTTCAAGTGAGCCTCCTGCCTCAGCCTCCTCAGTAGATGGGACTACAGGTGTATGCCACCACGCCCAGCTGTTTTTTTTTCTTTTTTTGTATTTTTGGTAGAGATGAGGTTTCACCATGTTGCCCAGGCTGGTCTCAAACTCCTGGGTTCAAGTGATCCACCTGCTTTGGCCTCCCAAAGTGCTGGGATTACAGGTGTGAGCCACCGCGCTTGGCCGATGATTAGTGTTTTATATAGCTGTTGGCCATCTGTACATTTTCTTTTGAGAAGCAACTATTCAGATGCTTTGCATACTTGTTAATGGAATTATCTGGGGATTTTTTGTTGAGGTGTGTTTCTTCTAGGCCTAATTTGTTGATAGTTTTAATGATGAAGGGATGTTGAATTTTGTCAAATGTTTTTTTAACATCTATTGTGATGATCATATAATTTTTTTTTTTTTTTTTAGACAGAGGGTCTCTCCTTCACCCAGGCAGGAGTGCAGTGGCGCGATCTTGGCTCACTGCAACTTCCACCTCCTGGGTTCAAGAGATTCTCCTGTCTCAGCCTCCCGAGTAGCTGGACTACCGGTGCACACCACCACACCCAGTTAATATTTTGCATTTTTGAGAGAGATGGGGTTTCATCATGTTGGCCAGGCTGATCTCGATCTCCTGACCTCAAGTGATCCACCCATCTCAATCTCCCAAAGTGCTGGGATTGCAGGCATGAACCACCGCGCCTGCCCATGATTATATGTTTTTTGTTCTTCCTTCTGTTGACATGAGATATCATATCTATTGATTTGAGAATGTTGAAATATCCTCCCTTCTGGCTGCTGTGTGGACTGCGAGCTCTCCTACCCTCCATGGTCTTCCAATCCCACTGTCCCCAGGCCAACTGCTCCCAGACTATGCAGTAGTCTCATGTGCATGGAGCAGTTGCAATTGATCCTGGTGGTGACAGAGGGGTTGGTGTTTCAGGCATGGCACAGTCAGAGGAGGTCCCAAGGAGAGACCAAGAGGTAAACTTAAGTAGAGCTGCACCCCTTCCTTGGCATCTGTAGAACCCTGGATAAAATCAAATACGCCAACCCAAATGCCCATCAATGATAGACTGGATAAAGAAAATGTGGCACATATACACCATGGAATACTATGCAGCCACAAAAAAGGATGAGTTCATGTCCTTTGCAGGGACACAGATGAAGCTGAAAACCATCATTCTCTGCAAACTAACACGAGAACAGAAAACCAAACATCACGTGTCCTCACTCATAGGTGGGAGTTGAGCAATGAGAACACATGGACACGAAGAGGGGAAAATCACACACCGGCACCTGTCACGGGCTGGGGGGCTGGGGGAGGGATAGCATTAGAAGAAATACCTAATATAGACAACAGGTTGATGGGTGCAGCAAAATACCATGGCACGTGTATACCTATGTAACAAACCTGCACGTTCTGCACATGTATCCCAGAACTTGAAGTATAATAATAAAAAAAAAGAAAACGAAACAATGAAACATGGGTTCTTATGAATCACAGAACACCCGTGACCCCAAGTTAAGATGGAAATTTATGATTCATTCCAACTAGGTCCTGTTTTCAGTATCTCACAAAAGCTTGACTCTAGAGTGAAATATACTTGGAAATGAATGAACGACTCTTGTGGTCTTTTTACTTCTTGTAAGGCTTTAGGATCCACCCGTTTGAATACCTATGACCAGGACCTCCTGCAATGCTTCTCTCTCCACCTCCAGGCATCCCTTCATTCAGATAATACCAATTCATCATCACCATCTGACCTCTCCTTCAGCTTCTTCACCACCCTCCATCTCAATTGCTTTCTGTTTTTCTTCTTTATTTTTTGAACTTCAACTTTTATTTTAGATACGAGGATACATGCTCAGGTTTGCTACATGGAACTATTGCACCCAGGTGGTGAGTGCAGGACCCAGTGGGTATTTCTTTTATCCTGTCCTATTGCGTTAAATCTTTCCTTCCCGGGACTGGTCCTATCTCTAAACTTTTTGCGTAGTGATTTTATCAACTTAATTTTTGCTAGGATGCTAGATTTTCTAGGAGGGGAGGTAATTTGAAATGAAGTCTGGGTTACTGTGAATCCAGTATATCTGCTTTGCTCGCCTTTATCTCTTGTGTCCTGGGATGGCCACAGGTTGACATGTTTAAATGTTTCTTAAGTGAGGATGGATAAGATTTACTGAGTGGTGAGTGCACGAATACAAAAGCAAAATGAGGCCGGGCGCGGTGGCTCACGCCTGTAATCCCAGCACTTTGGGAGGCCAAGGCGGGCAGATCACCTGAGGTCAGGAGTTCGAAACCAGCCTGGCCAACATGGTGAAACCCCATCTCTACTAAAAATACAAAAGTTAGCCGGGTGTGGTGGCAGCTGCCTGTAATCTCAGCTCTCAGCTACTCGGGAGGCTGAGTTAGGAGAATTGTTTGAACCCAGGAGGCCGAGGTTGCAGTAAGCCAAGATTGCACCACTGCACTCCAGCCTGGATGACAGAGTGTCACCCTGTCACAAAAAAAAAAAAAAAAAAGAAGCAAAATACAAGAAGTCCAGGACTGGTAAAGGCAAGGCATGTTGAGCGGTTAGAAAAGGGGTGATGACATCGAAAAACCTCCTGGCATTTCCCAGTCCTTGCCTAGCACAGGTTACTCTGAAAGCAGGACTTAAGACAAGGATATGAGCGCAGGTAACTGATTTGGGAACCAAGTTTAAGGGAATAGGGTTCCCTTATGAAAGAGAGAAGGAGAGGAATTCCTGAAATCAGCATGCATTGCGGACACCACTACAGCAGGTAATATGGACAGGTCCACACCAGGATCTCTGATAATGTGCAGACCATCATCCAGAACTTCCCGCCAAAACAGGAGATACTCGCCAATATGTGTATGGCTTTCTAGCCCCCATTTCTGGGAGTTTCTTTTTCCCCAGCCACTGTCAGACGCATCAAGCTTTGGCTGAAATAGCTTCCAATAAGGTCCTTACACACAAATGTGGAGAGACACATGGAAATCCTCGAAATGAGATACTGTCCCGTGATTCTGAGAGTGACCCAAAAGGATACGGAATGAGGTACTAAAAGCAGGTGCTTGGAAACCTGAGGGCAGTGGTGTTCATGCGTTTCCCGGCACTTTGACTTTCAGCCTCCTGCAAGCCTCTCCTTCTTTGCCTTCCTGACCGTTAGATACAATTAATTTGGGGTTTGTTTTTTCTGCTTCCTCTTTCCCCTCCCACCCTATGTTTCAGTTCTAAAGTTAGAAGGTCCTCTCATCCTTTTAAGAAGAACAGAGACAGAAAATGGTTAGTCACCATCTAGGACAGACTACAATTCCAGATCATTGCAGGACGTGCCCACTCAAATGGATGATTATTGAGAGCTGGCCACCTGAAGTGTTTTACACAGGCAGTGATCTAAGGGTTGAAGCTATCTGGCCTTTTTGCTTGCTTGTTATGTATTTATGGCTTTTTTCCTTTTCAAAATAATTTTACTAAATATTTAATTCACCAACTATATATATTTATGGGGTACAATGTGTTATAAATGTATACACTGTGGAATGATGGAATCAAGACAGTTAACATGTCCATCACTCCGCATACTAACATCTGTGAAAACATTTAAAATCTATGCTTGGCTGGGCGTGGTGGCTCATGCCTGTAACCCCAGCAACTTTGAGAGGCTGAGATGGGCGGATCACCAGAGGTCAGGAGTTCGAGACCGGCCTGGCCAACATGGTGAAACCCCATCTCTATTAAAAATACAAAAATTAGCTGTGAGTGGTGGCGGGTGCCTGTAATCCCAGCTACACAGGAGGCTAAAGCAGGAGAGTCTCCTGAACCCAGGAGGCGGAGGTTGCAGTGAGCTGAGATCACACCACAGCACTCTAGCCTGGGCGACAGAGTGAGACTGCATCTCAGAAAAGAAAAAATATATATATATATTTTGGAGCTACATCGTGCTAGCGCTGCAGAGAATGAGTTTTGTTTTGCGACACAGTTTTTAGATGTCTACCAGGCTCTGGTGGAGATGGAATGTTTGGCCTCAAGTGGGCAGGTCCCATGGGACATGAGTAGCCGACCATGACCTGGCTGCGTACTGGCCCACCAAGCATTCGACTGGCGTGCCCAGCCACTCTCCGTCATCGCAGAGAAGTGCTCTATGTGAGATTTGGTTAAAGGAGTCCCTGAAGGCCTGTGGGAGGCAGAATAGTGACCTCCCAGAGATGTCCACCTCCTGAGGCCCAGACCCTGTGAGTTGGGGAAGCTTATGTGGCAAAAGGGACTTTGCAGATGTGATTAAGTCAAGGATCTTGGGTTGGGGAGATTACCCAGGTGGGCCTGATGTAATCACAAGGGGCTGAGTAAGTGAAAGAGGAAGGCAGGAGGGTCAGAGTGAGAGAAGGAGGTGAGTGCATGGAAGCAGGCGGCAGATAACGGGACTGGTGGCTTTGAGGTTGGAGGGAATGGAGAGGCAGGAATGCGGGAGCCTGCAGAGGCTTGAACAGGCGAGGGAACAGATTCTCCTTGGAGCCTCCAGGAGGACACGGCTCTGATAGCAGCTTCATTTTAGCCCAGGGAGACCCATTTTGGACTTGTGACCTCCGGGACGGTAAGTCAATAAACCTACATTATGTGAAGCCACTAAGCTTGTGGTGATTTGTTATGGCAGCAAAAGGAAGCTTTATGGTTCATCTGTACCCTGAAAATGCAGGTTTTTGGTTTTTTTTTTTTTTTCACTTGTTCAATGATGTACCCCCAGTGTCAGGCGCTTTGCAAACACACGATACATACGGGTTGATGTTTGGTCAAGAGAGGAATTAAGACCAGGCAGACAGCAGGCTGGGATCAGAGAGACCCCATTTCTGTCTGAAATGTCTGCAGAGAACCTGGTGCCTGCCTCAGCCCTAGCTCTGGGGAAATGAAAGCCAGGCTGGGGTTCAAATGAGGGCAGTTTCCCTTCCTGTGGGCTGCTGATGGAACAACCCCATGACGAGAAGGACCCAGCCTCCAAGCGGCCACACCCTGTGTGTCTCTTTGTCCTGCCGGCACTGAGGACTCATCCATCTGCACAGCTGGGGCCCCTGGGAGGAGACGCCATGATCCCCACCCTCACGGCTCTGCTCTGCCTCGGTGAGATTTAAAGAGGGGGAGGGGAGACCCGAGTCTTGGAGGAAATTTGCCTCACAGCCAGGCCCTGGTTCTTTAGGAGACTCAAAAATCTCAGGGTAGCCGGGCGCGGTGGCTCACGCCTGTAATCCCAGCACTTTGGGAGGCCGAGGCGGGCGGATCACGAGGTCAGGAGATCGAGACCATCCTGGCTAACACGGTGAAACCCTGTCTCTACTAAAAATACAAAAAATTAGCCGGGGGTGGTTGCAGGCGCCTGTGGTCCCAGCCACTCGGGAGGCTGAGGCAGGAGAATGGCGTGAACCCGGGAGGCGGAGCTTGCAGTGAGCCAAGATCGCACCACCGCACTCCAGCCTGGGTGACAGCGAGACTCCGTCTCAAAAAAAAAAAAAAAAAAAAATCTCAGGGTAAAGAGAGGACCTGCTCAGGCTTCCGGGGCAAATCCCTCACAGGGAACTCTCTTCCAGGGCTGAGTCTGGGCCCCAGGACCCACATGCAGGCAGGTGAGTCTGTCCCCAGCTGTCCCAGGTCCCTCCTCCTCACTGGGACAAGGGGCCACCCATGGGCAGCTGGGGGAGGAGACAGCAGTTCTGGGTGACTGATGAGGATGACGGGGGGGTCCTGGGGCTGAGAGCTGGGATCTGAGGGCTGAGGAAGGTCTTGGGATCCAGCCTCTGATTTTCTTCCAGGGCCCCTCCCCAAACCCACCCTCTGGGCTGAGCCAGGCTCTGTGATCAGCTGGGGGAACTCTGTGACCATCTGGTGTCAGGGGACCCTGGAGGCTCGGGAGTACCGTCTGGATAAAGAGGAAAGCCCAGCACCCTGGGACAGACAGAACCCACTGGAGCCCAAGAACAAGGCCAGATTCTCCATCCCATCCATGACAGAGGACTATGCAGGGAGATACCGCTGTTACTATCGCAGCCCTGTAGGCTGGTCACAGCCCAGTGACCCCCTGGAGCTGGTGATGACAGGTGAGAGGACACTCAGGGGTCCCAGCCCCAGGCTCTGCCCTCAGGAAGGGGGTCAGCTCTCAGGGGCATCTCCCTCTCACAGCCCAGCCCTGGGGATGATGTGGGAGGTGGGAGCCCCATTTAACACGGTGCCTCCTTCTCTCCTAGGAGCCTACAGTAAACCCACCCTTTCAGCCCTGCCGAGTCCTCTTGTGACCTCAGGAAAGAGCGTGACCCTGCTGTGTCAGTCACGGAGCCCAATGGACACTTTTCTTCTGATCAAGGAGCGGGCAGCCCATCCCCTACTGCATCTGAGATCAGAGCACGGAGCTCAGCAGCACCAGGCTGAATTCCCCATGAGTCCTGTGACCTCAGTGCACGGGGGGACCTACAGGTGCTTCAGCTCACACGGCTTCTCCCACTACCTGCTGTCACACCCCAGTGACCCCCTGGAGCTCATAGTCTCAGGTGAGGCTCCTGACCCTGTCCTCTCTGAGCTCAGTGGCTCCGTTCATGCCCTGCTGCCAGGAGAGCTCTGGGCAGGGATGGAGGGAGAGGGGCTCAGCCAGTGGGGGACTCAGCCCTCAGAGGGGAGGAGGACAACAGGGGCCCTCCCAGGCATGCCCATGCTCTTCTCCCTCACCTAGGGTCCAGAAGGTGCCAGGTGGACAGAGAAATGGTCCTTGGGAAGCTGCAGGGCAGATATAGGGAGAGGTTCAATTTGATGTGGAGACCCAAGGGCAACCCCAGACTCTCACCCTCCTCTTGTCCTTCTACCCAGGATCCTTGGAGGGTCCCAGGCCCTCACCCACAAGGTCCGTCTCAACAGCTGGTGAGTCTCAGAGGCCTCTGTCCAGAGAGTTTCCAAAGCCCGAGGCCTGTCTCAAGACATGCTCAGTGGATCTAAGTCCTCGTTCCAATTCTCAGCTGGGCTTGCTTCCACGGGTGTGGGAGTCGGGCAGCGACTTGGGAGGCACCACAGGCTCCCAAGGCCCTGAGGCTGGGCTGGTGAGGGGTGAGGGGGTCAAGGCTGAAGGAGATGTTGCGGGGAGAAGCCGAGCTGATGTGGGGAGCAGGGCAGCCCCAGCCCTCACATCCCTGTTCTAACCCAGCAGGCCCTGAGGACCAGCCCCTCATGCCTACAGGGTCAGTCCCCCACAGTGGTGAGTGAGGGGCTCTGAGTGGGAGGTGGGCAGGGTCTAGGGGAGCCAAGGGTGGGTTCTGTCCTAGGTTAAGGCTCCTCTGGAGGTGGTGATGTGGACAGGCCCCTCCCCTGCATGGGCCTCAGTTTCTCCAAGTGTAAAGGAGAGAGGCCTGCGGGTGGGAAAGTTCCTTTCAGCTCTGACTCCCAGCTGTGCCCTCCTGGGAGAGGAGGCCTCCCAGGGAACCTCCCAGACCCGATTCCGCAGGGGCCTGTCCGGTCCCACCTGCAGCAGAGACGGTGACCTGGGGCAGGGGAGGGGAGCAGGGCGGTGGTTCAAGACAGTCAGGCTCTTTCCCTGCAACTCTGGGGCTTGGCTCTGGTGCAGGAACAAGGGCTGCAGCTCAGACTCCCGGGTTTCCTTCCCAGCTCTGCCGCTTCCTGGCTGGAGGGGTCTGGGGCAGGCGATTCCCCTCTCTGAGCCTCAGTTTGTGCATCTGTGAAATGGGTGGAGAGAGGGTGGCAATCTCAGGTTGCACAACTGCTGTGAGGGTTGGAGGTAATGAAAGAAAGACCCAGCACACACAGTAGGTGCACACACAGTAGGTGTGCACATCAATGACATCATCCCCATTCCTGATGTCATCACGCCCAAGGTCTGAGAAGGCACTGGGAGGTACTGATCGGGGTCTTGGTGGTCTCCATCCTGCTTCTCTCCCTCCTCCTCTTCCTCCTCCTCCAACACTGGCGTCAGGGAAAACACAGGACATTGGGTAAGTAGGAAATTGGGGGACCCGTGGGCTGATGGAGGGTGGGCTCAGGGCACCAGCCAAAGGGACTCCAGATAGGAGAGGTCATCTTAGAAACTCTGCTCCAGAAATTCCCAGTGAGAAAATCTAGAAAGAAGAAAATGAATGAGGGAGTAATGGAAGTGCTTTATTCTTTCGGTTTTTCTAAACTTAGAAAGTATTTAAAACATCCTTGCAAGTGTATTTTCAGGTTTCCTTTCCTCTTGACTTGCATGTGCAAGGCAGGTGGTTCTAACGTTCCCAGAGCTGAGACTCTGTCCATCTTCCCCCAGCCCAGAGACAGGCTGATTTCCAACGTCCTCCAGGGGCTGCCGAGCCAGAGCCCAAGGACGGGGGCCTACAGAGGAGGTAATTCTGCCCAAAGACCTCAGACTCCCACCCATCCCAACAGCCACCTCACTGTCCCCTTACACTCCCGTATCCTCCCCCAGGTCCAGCCCAGCTGCTGACGTCCAGGGAGAAAACTTCTGTGAGTGAGAGGCAGAGAAGGTGCACCTGGGGTGGAGCTGGGGGTCCCAAAATTTCAATAGCAATGGGGGCAGGAGCACAGGCTAGGATTGGTCAGGGACTCAGGGAGAAGTGGTCTGAACCCACATTGTGGGACCTCGGGGACATCACAGCCCCTCCCTGCGTTGCAGTGGCACTAATGGGAACAGGGCAGGGACCAGCAGGAATGAGAGGTCCCAGGGAACCTTCCCAGGAGATGAACCCCTTGCTCTACCCCAGCAGGTGCTGCCGTGAAGAACACACAGCCTGAGGACGGGGTGGAAATGGACACTCGGGTGAGAACCCGCCCCTGTCCCAGGCACCAAAGGCCTCCTGGTGCCAGATCTAATCCTGCAGAACTTCTCTGTCCTCCTTCCCCCGGCTCTCAGCATCGTCACGGTGGACCCCTCCTTGTCCAGCACGCTGCCTCCTGCCTGCTGGGACCTCACTCTCTCCTGCTGTCCTGGGACCTCGTGGGCCTCCTCCCGGGTCCCCTTCCTGCTCCTCATCCTCTGTTTGGCCATCTGGTTGTTAGAGAGCTCCCCAGGCCTCAGGAGGATGACGAATAAATGAACCACTCCAGTCCCCTGGGCTCCCCTTCATTCATTCATCTAGTGAGTGTTCCCAGGGAGCTCACTGTGGATGGGGCTCCCCATGGGAGCTGCAGACACAGCAGGGAGCAAAGCCGCCCCCGCCTCCTGAGCTCACCTCGTGGTGGGAGACAAAATGCAAATAAATGCATCGTGTCCAGGAGTGCAACGTGCTGTAAGGAACATAAACCAGGTAAAGGGCAGAGAGTGTGGGGCAGTGGGGCCAGTCTGAATGGAAAGGGAGGGCTGTCTGCTCAGCTGTCATCTGAGAAGCCTGGACGGAGAGGGCCACGTGATCCTCTAATGGACGAGCCCCTGCAGGCAGAGGAAACAGCCGTGCAAAGGCCCCGAGGCAGCAGCGAGCTCTTGCAGGAAGGCCGCGTGAGGCTGCAGCCAAATGGGCAAGGTCAGAGTGAGGAGCAGAGACCAGAACCACAGGGAGGGAGCGGCCAGACCCTCCACGGCCTTAGGGCATCCCTGAGATTCCGTCAGGAAAGGGATGTAATCGGATCACCCTGGGAACAGTGGGGAAAATTGACTCCAGGGAGTCAGGAGGATTCAAGGACACCCCCCACCACTGTCTCTCTCCAGCAGAGCCCACACGATGAAGACCCCCAGGCAGTGACGTATGCCAAGGTGAAACACTCCAGACCTAGGAGAGAAATGGCCTCTCCTCCCTCCCCACTGTCTGGGGAATTCCTGGACACAAAGGACAGACAGGCAGAAGAGGACAGACAGATGGACACTGAGGTGAGTCCTTTCCTCTCCAGGCCCCCAGGCCTCCCCCACCCCCACCACGTTCCTTCCCTCTCACTCTCCCCCGCTGCAGGCTGCTGCATCTGAAGCCCCCCAGGATGTGACCTACGCCCGGCTGCACAGCTTTACCCTCAGACAGAAGGCAACTGAGCCTCCTCCATCCCAGGAAGGGGCCTCTCCAGCTGAGCCCAGTGTCTATGCCACTCTGGCCATCCACTAATCCAGGGGGGACCCAGACCCCACAAGCCATGGAGACTCAGGACCCCAGAAGGCATGGAAGCTGCCTCCAGTAGACATCACTGAACCCCAGCCAGCCCAGACCCCTGACACAGACCACTAGAAGATTCCGGGAACGTTGGGAGTCACCTGATTCTGCAAAGATAAATAATATCCCTGCATTATCAAAATAAAGTAGCAGACCTCTCAATTCACAATGAGTTAACTGATAAAACAAAACAGAAGTCAGACAATGTTTTAAATTGAATGATCATGTAAATATTACACATCAAACCAATGACATGGGAAAATGGGAGCTTCTAATGAGGACAAACAAAAAATAGAGAAAAATTAATAAAGTCAAAATGTTTATTCTTGAAAACATTAATGATACATGAATCTTGGCCACAATGAGAAAAATAAAAATGAAAAAAGAGCAGGCATCCATTTCCATACAGGAACAAAATAGGAGGCAGCACTACAGACCCTACACACAGCTTTACAGAGGTGAAAGAAAACTGTCAGCAATTCTATGCTGACATAACAGAAAATGTAGATGAGATAGATGAAATACGAAAAATTACAGTTTACTTAATGAACATAAGGATAAATAGAAAAACTGAATCATCATACATAAACATATATAAAATGCATTGATCCTGTAATCAAAAATGTTCCCACAAAGTAAATGCCACTTCAGCAAGGTTTGTTGGTGGTTTTTTCAAACTGTTATGCACTCATGAAACACACAGACACACACACACACAAACTTGCATAAATTTTCCCTGAGAATATTTTGTATATATTTACACAAATACATTTGATCAGACTAGGAACAAGTTGATACCAAAACCTGAAAAGGAAACTACAGAATGGGAAAGTCATAGAAGATCTCTCACAGAAATATAAATCCCTTAACAAATATTAACAAGTAAGATTCATGTCTCTATAAAATAGACAGTATATCATGACCACACTGGTTTTTTGTTATCCTTTGATTTTGTTTATGAAAAGCAAGGATAGCTTAATTTTCAAAAACTCAATCAATGTAATTCAGTATTTTAACAAAAGGAATGAAAAATTATCATCTCAATAGACAAAGCTTTTGTCTGAGCACCTTTTCATATAGCTGCTGACCATTTGTATGTCTTCTTTTGAGAAATGCCTGTTCAGCTACTTTGCCCATGTTTCAAGTAGTTTTTGGTTTCTTGCTGTTGCTTTGTTTTAGTTCCTTACATATTTTTGCATATTAACCCTTTATCAGGTATACAGCTTGCAACTATTTTCTCCCATTTCTGAGTTGTCTCTTCATTCTGTTTGCAGAAGCTGTTTAGAAGCCACACCTTTTGTCTATTTTTGCTTTTGTTGCTTGTGTTTTCAGGGCCATATCCAAAAAAACCTTGCCCGGACCAACGTCTTGAAGCTTTTCTCCCACCCATTTTTGTATATGGGATAAGGGTTCAATTTCATTCTTCTTCATATGAATATCCCCAGGATGTGTCCTATGCCCAGCTGCACAGCTTACCCTCAAACAGAAAATAATGAAGCCTTCTTCCTCCCAGGAAAGGGGACGTTCAGCTGAGCCGAGTGTGTATACTGCTCTGGCCATCCACTAGCCCAGGGAGGACCCAGACCTCCACACTCCATGGAGACTCAGTTCTCCTAGGACCATTTATTCAAAAGGACTGCCCTCTCTTGTTCTTGGAAACTTTGTTGAGGATCAATTCACCATAAATATGTGTGTTTCCTTCTTTGCTTTCATCCCTGTTGCACTGATCACTGTACCTGTTTCTATTCCAGTTCCATGATGTCTTCCTGGCTGTAGCTTTGTAGGATATTTGGGGATTCCATAGTGTGATATCCCCTTCTTCCCTTTGCTCAAGATTGTTTTGGCTATTTGGGGTCCTTTTGTAGTCCCATTCAAATTTTAGGATTGTTTTTCTATTTCTGTGGAAAACGACCTTGGAATTTTGTTAGGAATTGCATTGAGTCTGCAGGTATGAACTTTTTTTTAAAGTTCCAGGGCACATGTACAGGACCTGCAGCTTTGTTACATAGGTAGGCTTGTGCCATGGTGGTTTGCTGCACCTATCAACCCATTACCTAGTTATTAAGCCCAGCATGCATTAGCTCTTTTTCCTGATGCTCTCCCTCCCTTCATCATCCGCCCTCCCACTACAAGCCCCAGTGTGTGTTGTTCCCCTCCCTGTGTCCATGTGTTCTCATTGTTATACGAACATTTTAACAATGTTAATTCTTGCAGACCATGAACATAAGCTACCTTCCCATTTATATGCGTCTTGTTCAATTTCATTCATCAATGTTATAAAGATTTTAGTGCAGAGATATTAAACCTCCTTGGTTAAATTTAATTCTAAGTAATTTTTTAGCTATTATAAGTGTAATTTTTCTTTCGATTTCTTTCTGGATAGTTTGTTTTTAGTATATAGAGATGCTACCAATTTCTGCATGTTGATTTTGTATCCTGCAACTCTACTAAATTCGTGGATCAGTTCTAAAAGTTGTTTGGTTGAGTCTTTAGAGATTTTTATATATAAAATCATGTCAGCAAACAGAGACAATATCACTTTTTATCTGATTTGGGTGCTTTTGTGTATTTTTATTGCCTAATTGCTGTGTCTAGGACTTCTATTACTATGCTGAATAGAAGAAGTGAGAGCATATACTTTTGAGCAAGGATTCTTCCATCCTCCTCCTACAGAAAGGGCAGGTTCTAATTGCACTCTGGCTGAACTATTAGCACTTCTCATGCACTTGTGTGCTCAGCCCTCAGTCAGCCTCATTGGAAAGGGTCCAACTGAGGAAGGCACCAGATGTATTTGCTGCTAAGTCCTGGCCACAGACAGTGGATGACAGATGATTATTTAAATAAAGATTAGCTTTCCTTTCAAAGTTGGAGTGCTAACCCACCCAATGTCCCTAAGGCTTCAGGGCAGGACCATGGAAAGAGGAGGAGGAAGGTTCTGAGAACTAGACAAGGGGCACTGAGGAGGCAGAAATGAATCAAGTGCTGTATCCAGGGAGATGTGGAGGAGACTGTTAGAAAATAGTAACAAAAAAAGGGAAGCCCAAGCAGAGAATTGTTTGGTAGAAAGAATACCCACGACCCAGGGTCAGTGGAGGAGTTATGTTTTCTTCCCCTATTTCCCTGCATTTCTGCACTATGCACAGTGATATCGCTGTCACTTTCTCAGCCCTGCAGGCTTGTCAGAACCCAGTGACCGCCTGGAACTGGTGGTGACAGATGAGAGGACACTCAGGGATCCCAGCCCCAGGCACTGCATTCAGGAAGGGGTTCAGCTCTCAGGGGGTGTCTCCCTTCTCACAGCCCAGCCCTGGGGTATGATGTGGAAGGTGTGAGCCCCATTTAACATGGTGCTTCCTTCTGTCCTAGGATTCTACAGCAAATCCACCCTCTCAGCTCAGCCCAGCCCTGTCCTGACCTCAGGAGGTAAGGTGACACCGTTATGTCCTTCACGGCTGGGATTTGACAGGTTCATTCTGACCGTGGAAGGTGAACACAAGCTATTCTGTCTCCTGGACCCCGAAAAACAGTCCGATGGACAGTTCCAAGCCCTGATCCTGGCAGACCCCATGACTTCTAGCCACAGGTGGAGGTTTACCAGTCTGGTTTAGCAGACTTTAGCACCTGAGACCAAGAGCTCCAGCAGCTCACTAGATTCTGACCATACCTGGAGGCAACCTGGTGAAAGAAGAGGCTTGGAAGGAACCAGCCCTCTGAGTCCCAGCTCCTCGCACACTCCAGGTGTGCCTAGGGAGCCCTCCCATTTGACTCCACAGGGTCCTGTCATGGCCCATGGAGAGAGGTTGACCCTCCTGTGTTGCTCTGATGTTGGCTGCAAAATATTCTCTCTGTCCAAGAAAAAGATACATCACCTTCCCCAGAGTTCTGGCCAGAAGTTCTCCCAAGATGACTTCCCCTTAGGCCCTGTGAGCATCTCCCATGGGGGCCAGTACAGATGTTCAGTGGACACAACCTCTCCTCTAGGTGGTCAGCCCCCAGTGACCCCCCTGGACATCCTGATCGCAGGTGAGAAGCCCAGCGGGTTCAGTTAGGGACCCAGGCTCTGTACAGGCCCTGCCAGGGGAGCCTAGGTGGTGATGGTTGGGATGAGGGGTGGGGGTCTCAAGGGAGGGAGAGGCAGAGAGAGAGAGAGGATGGATTGGGCGGGGACGGGGAAACTCAGAGAAAACAGAGACAGAGATACTGAGGGTCCCAGAGAGAGGCCTGGGGAAGTCTCAGCTCAGAACAAGGTGGGGCGGCTCCTCACCCATCCTTCTTCTCTCCAGGACAGATCCGTGAGACAGCCTCCCTCTTGGTGCAACCAGGCCCCACTGTGGTCTCAGGAGAGAACATGGCCCTGCTGTGTCAGATGCAAAGCTGGGTGGACAGACACTTTCCTTCTATCTGAGGAGGATGCAGCTGACAAGACCCCACCCTCGTATCTAATATCAAAGTACCCTACTCTGTGGTAGAGGTTGAATTCTCCATGAGTCCTGCGACCTCAGCCCATGCGGGGACCTACAGGTGCTATGCCTCATAGAGTGTTTACCCCAAGCTGTTGTTCCCCCAGTGACCTCCTGGTAATACAGGAGTTACTAAGAAATTGTTTTAGGCAGATAGTAAGGGTAAAGGTTCTTGGTGGAAATTTTCCAGTAATAAGGAACAATCCCTGAACCATCTCTTTTCTAACAGAAATGACAGCTTAAATGGCCCGGCCAGCAAGCTTTAATGTGCAAATGCCAACCATTAAAAACTGGGTTCACTCAATATGGTGATTCCTACTGTCTTCTCTTTGTTACCACCTGTGCCAAGTGTGATGGCCACCTCCAGACAACACCATGTATTCAAAACATCATGGTGACCCAAATGAATGAAAAAGCCCTTTTTAATATGCATTTTTAAAGGCCTACAGAAAACCAGGGCCAAACCTCTCAATTACTCTAAACTGTCTATAATGGAACAAAAGCCAAATAAAAATCTTGTAGCCTTTATAAAAAGGCTAAAAGAGGCACTAAAAAAGTATATCTTTTTATTCTCTAATCCAGTTAAGTAACAGCTCATCCTGAGGGACAAATTTATTACACAGGCAGCTCCCAATATTAAAAAAAAAAAAAAAAAACTACAAAAGAAAGCTACAGGACCAAATAGCACCTTAAAAAACCTCCTGAAGGTGGCCACTTTGGTCTTTTATAATATGGACCAGGAGGAGTCCCAAAAGAAAGAAAAAAAGCTCAGGAGAAGGACAAAGTCTCTAGCAGCAGCTTTGAAGGCTCGCAAAGTCCCAGATCACCAAGATGCATCCTCTAGTTGCTATTAGTGTAGCAGGCCAGAATGTCCAGTCAGCAAAATGAAGCAACCTCCACTCTGTCCAGCCTGTGGCAAAAACCACTGAAAACAGAACTGCCCCCAGACATGGAGGTCACTGAGTTCAAAACCAGTCTCACAGATGGTCCAGCAAAACTGATGGATCCTGGTGCTTGAACCTAGGCTCCAGTAGCTCAAACTGCCATTATAGCACAAGAGCCCTGGATAATTCTGGAAATTAAAGGAAGGAAAGTAGACCTCCTTCTAAACACTAAAGCTAGTCTCTCTCTCTTTTCTATTCTCTAATCCAGGCCTCCCTTCTTCCTTCATCACAACCGTAAGGGGCATCTTAGGAAAAAGTCTAATCCAATATTTTCTCAATCTTAGTTAAAACATGCTTTCGGTCAGGCACGGTGGCTCACGCCTGTAGTCCCAGCACTTTGGGAGACTGACGTGGGTGGATCACCTGAGGTTGGGAGTTCAAGACCAGTCTGGCCAACATGGAGAAACCTCATCTCTACTAAAAATACAAAAAATTAGCCAGGTGTGGTGGCACATGCCTGTAATCCAAGCTACTTGGGAGGCTGAGGCAGGAGAATTGCATGAACCCAAGAGGCAGAGGTTGCAGTGAGCCGAGATCGCTCTATTGCACTCCAGCCTGGGCAACAAGAGTGAAACTCCATCTAAAACAAACAAACAAACAAACAAAAAATCAAAAAAACATGCTTTCAAGCCATTGAAGCCATTGTCATGATAGCTCTACTAGTCAGAAAAGCCTGCAAGTTAACCCTAGAAAATAAAAATAATTTAACTGTTTACAGCCCACATAATGTAGCAGAATCACTGTCCTCTAGGGGGAGCTCTTAGCTGGTAAACAGCCCGTAAAGCAAAAAGTAAATAAGGCAGAATAAGCAGTAGTCACTCTCTCCAGGCACAAACACTCAATTAGCTGAGTTAATAGCTCTTTAAAAAGCACTTAAATTAAGCAAGGAAAAGGCAGCTAACATTTACACTAACTCCAAGTATGCTTTCTTGGTTCTCCATGCTCATGCTGCCATTTAAAACAAAAAAACATGTTCTTACTGCTAATAAATCTCCTATAAAAAATCACCAAAAAATTAGCAAGTTATTCTTATTTTTTCTTCCACAAAAAGTAGCAGGGATGCATTGTAAGAAACATCAAAGAATAAACAATAAGGTAGCCAAAGGAAATAAGTTAGCCAATCGGGCAGCTAAGTCAAAGGCATAAAAGCTTCAAGGCCTTAATGCACTTCAAGCCCCTTCTAATCTAAAAAGGCTCCATAAGAGAAATCACACCTCAGTATTCCCCTGAAAAAATAGAATAAGCCACTTCTCAAGGGCATACTTTTCAGCCCTCAGGATGGCTACAGTCAGGATGGCAAATTTATTGGTCAGCCTCCAGCCAACAGAAAGTTCTTGAAGTCCTAAGCTTTTCACTCAGGAAAAAATAAAACTTATCAATGGGCTCAAACATTGTTTTCAGACGGGAAACCTCTAGAATGGTTAACCACGTAACCTCTCTAGCTCACTTCCAACAAAAATTGACACAATAGCAGAAGCCCAGCCCTAGGAAATAAAACCACCTTTATTTAACTCAGGAAATTTAGTATTAGTAAGAACTCTCATCTCTGTCTCCTTCCCTAAGCCAAGCTAAAAAGGGCCCTACACTGTTCGTCTTTCAACCTCCTCGGCAGTAAAAGTTACAGGAATCAACTTCTACATGCATCACACTCAAGTCAAAGCCAAAAAGCTAAAAAACCAACCCCTAACAGTAAAAAAAAAAAAAGCTAAATATTAATGTAAAAAAATAGAAGATCTTAAGCTAAAAATCATAGAAGATAAGTAACTAAGTAAGGGCTACACATCTTACTCAGTCCCACTCCTACCCACCAAATATGTTTTATTATTTCTAACCTTTTCTCACAAAGTTCACGGCCAAATATTAAAACTTCTTTTTAACACTTATTTGCAGCAAAATTTAAATATTCATAAAATCACATTTGTAACTTTCTGAATCCCCAAAGGAAAATGTTATATCTTGGCAAGTTTTTTTTTTTTTTTTTTTGAGACAGAGTCTCGCTCTGTTGCCCAGCCTGGAGTGCAGTGGTGCAATCTCAGCTCACTGCAAGCTCCGCCTCCCGAGTTCACACCATTCTCCTGCCTCAGCCTCCCGAGTAGCTGGGACTACAGGCGCCCGCCACCACGCCTGGCTCATTTTGTGTATTTTTAGAGAGACGGGGTTTCACCATGTTAGCCAGGATGGTCTCGATCTCCTGACCTCGTGATCCACCCGCCTGGGCCTCCCAAAGTGCTGGGATTACAGGTGTGAGCCACCACACCCGGCCAGCAAGTAAAGTTTTAAACAAAAATTACTGGCCAGAAAAAAAAAAAAAGCCATTCTTGTGAAAATTGTTGTAGTCACACTGCTATTTGCAATGAAACTATACTCTGTGGCACCCACAATGTAGAATTCTGGTTGTAAAATTGTAATTGTGGTAATATTTTGCCTGATTATCATCCTTATAACAAAATTAATAATTGCAGAAAAAATTTAATCAAGGTTGTTTTGCTTATAGCAGAAGTAATAGTAACGAATAAAAAGCAAGCATTAAAGTTTTACTAGCATTAAGTGTAATAAAACTTTTTACCAAAGGTTGGTGATATAATGCACTGTAAGCTATAAAAAGGTTATAAAAACATTTACATAAAAAAGGATTTTGTATGGTGAATACTTGTCCTAAAAGAAAATAACTGGTTGTTTAAAGGAAGAATGTTTAGGACAAGTCTAAAAGTTTAAGTGTGTTGTAAGAGAGTCTGTGAAAGTCATAAAAAATTTAATAATTAAAAAAAGTCAAAATTAACGCTAAAGTTATTTTAGCCACCCAATAATGTATTTCTCCCAATCATACTGCAAGTAGTAAAAATGGCCTAAGCCTAAAGTTATTCTCTACTGGCACGTTAAGGAGGAAACATATGCTTTTCTCTAGGAAAAAGTTACTTTTACAGTAACGTTCCTGGTAATGTACACCGACATCTAGTGGAGGAAAACCTGTATTGCAATCCATTGATACAACAACAGGTGTCAAACTCCACTGTCACTTAGGGTCTGTAGGACTGCCACTAACGATGGTATTTTTTTTTTTTTTGAAACAGAGTCTTGCTCTGTTGCCCAGGCTGGAATGCAGTGGCACAACCTCAGCTCACTGCAACCTCCGCCTCCCGGGTTCAAGTGATTCTCCTGCCTCAACCTCCCAAGTTGCTGGGATTACAGGAACTCACCATCATGCCCGGCTAATTTTTGTATTTTTAGTAGAGATGAGGTTTCACCATGCTGGCCAGGCTGGTCTTGAATTCCTGTCCTCAGGTGATCTGCCCGCGTTGGCCTCCCAAAGTGCTGGGATTACAGACATGAACCACCACACCCAGCCCCAATGGTGGTAATCTTAATACTCATATTCTAACCCTATATTTTAAACCTTCTTGTAAAATTTCTCTCTTTTTGCCTAAAAGTAATTAAACTCCAAATGGTGCTGCAAGCAAAGCCACACATGGACACGCCATTCTTTTGAGAAACCTTAAATCAACCTCAGAAAAAGGCCCAACTGCTGTTCCCCCACACAACACCCCTTTTCAGCAGGAAGTAGCCAGAAAGAAACATGATCCAACACGCACTAACAGCAGTTAGCTTTGCCTCTCTTTAAGGGGAGGAATAATACAGGAGTTATTAAGGAATTATTTTAGGCACATAGTAAGGGTAAAGGTTCTTGGTGGAAATTTTCCTGTAATAAGAAACAACCCCTGAACCATCTCTTTTCTAACAGAGAAGCTGTCTTAAAGAGCCTGGCCGGCAAGCTTTAAAATTCAAATGCTGGCCATTAAAACATGGGTTCATGCAATATGGTGATTTCTGCCATCTTCTTATCACCACCTGTGCCAAGCGTGATGGCCACCTCCAAATAACACAAAGCATCATGGTGGCCCACATTTGCATATTAAAAGGCTAAGGTGGGAGGAACAAGTTTTTCGAGGGCTATGTAAATGACACACCTGGCCTAACCAATCCCCTGGGCCCTATGCAAACCAGACACTTGCCTCCTCCAGCCTCCCAATATAAGCAACCACTTTTCCACCACACACGGGGTTCTTCTTTGTTCCAAGCTCCCCTCCCTTGGCTCTGTACAGAGGAGCTCTTTTCTTCTTTCTTTCTTCTTTCTTGCCTATTAAACTTTTTGCTCCTTAAAACCACTCCACGTGTGTCCTTATTGTTTTATCTAAACTGGCATGAGACCAAAAACCCTAGTCACCAAAGCCATATCACTGGAGCTCATGGTCTCAGGTAAGAAACCTCCAACCCGTGTCCATTGAAGCTGGCATTAGTCGTGTGAATGTAGAACTTCATGTTAGTAACACAGCTTTTAAAATGTTTCCCTAAATTGAGGCGGAGCTTGCAGTGAGCCAAGATTGTGCCATTGCACTCCAGCCTGGGCGACAAAGAGAGACTCCGTCTCAAAAAAAAAAAAAAAAAGTTTCCCTAAATTGTATATTTTTACTGTATACAACATGTGGTATTGCAACATTCCTATTTGTGGGTTGGCTAAATCGATCTAATAAACATACACATCAGTTCACATACTTACTACTGTTTGTGGTGAGAACTCTTAAATCTACTCTCACAGTGATTTTCAAGAATAGAATATATCGTTATTAACTATAGTCACCATGTTGTAGCATAGATCTGGAAGTTATTCTGTCAAACTGGAATTTTGGACCCCTCTATCAACATCCTCCCAAGATATAGGAATAAATGTGAGCACATCAAAAGACACCCAAACCATTACTTATTATAAAAATTCATAGGAATCCACAGTGAGACACTACTTCAAACACTGGATTGGCCATATTCTGAAAAATAACAAATGTCAGGAAGGGTGTGCGGAAAGAGAACCTTCACGCACTGCTGGCATGATTGTGAAATTTTTCGGTGACTGTGAAAAGTGGTTTGGAGGCCGGGCGTGGTGGTTCACGTTTGTAATCCCAGCACTTTGGGAGGCCGAGGCAGGAGGATCACCTCAGGTCAGGAGTTTGAGACCGGCCTGGCCAAAATGGCAAAACCCCTTCTCTACTGAAAGTGCAAAAATTATCTGGGCACGGTGCAGGTGCCTGTAATCCCAGCTACTCAGGAGGCTGAGGCAGAATAGCTTGAACCCAGGAGCAGAGGTTGCAGTGAGCCGAGATCGTGCCGCTGCACTCCAGCCTGGGTGACAGAGCCAGACTCCATCAAAAAGAAAGAAAGAAAGAGAGAGAGAGAGAGAGAGAGAGAGGGAGGGAGGGAGGGAGGGACGGAGGGGGAGAGAGAGAGAGGAAAGAAAAGAAAGAAAGAAAGAAAAAGAGAGAAAGAAGAAAAAGAAAAAAGCGGTTTGACAGTTCCTTAAAAGATGAACCTAGGAAGGCTTATATGCTGTTGGTGGTAAATTAGCTCAACTTCTATGGAAAACAGCATAGAGGTTTCTCAAAGAACTAAATACAGAACTGCCGTTTGACCCAGCAATCCCACTACTGTAAAAGAAATAATTATATTAAAAAAGACACACGCACTCGTATGTTCACCGTGGTGCTATTCACAATAGCAAAGTCATGGAACCATCCTAGATGTCCATCCATCGTGGCATGGATAAAGTAAAAGTGGTAAATATATAGCCCAGAATACAGCATAGCCATAAAAAATAGTGAAATCATGTCCTTTGCAGGAACATGGATGGAGCTGGAGGCCATGATCCTACGTGAACTAACTCAGAATCAGAATACCAAACACTGCATGATCTCACTTACAAGTGGGAGCTACACAATAGGCACTCATGGACATAAAGATGGAGATAAACACAGGGAAACCCAAAAGGGGGGAAGGGTGGGAGGAGGGCAAGAGGTTAAAAAAATATATTAGGGCTGGGTGCGGTGGCTCACGCCTGTAATCCCAGCACTTTGGGAGGCAGAGATGGGGGGGATCACCTGAGGTCAGGAGTTCGAGACCTGCCTGGTCAATGTGCAGAAACCCCATCTCTACTAAAAATACAAAATTAGCTGGGCATGGTGGTGCATGCCTGTAATTCCAGCTACTCGGGAGGCTGAGGCAGGAGAATTGCTTAAACCTGGAAGGTGGAGGTTGCGGTGAGCCGAGATCGCACCACTGCACTCCAGCCTGAGCAACAAGAGTGAAACTCCATCTCAAAAAAAAAAAAATCTATCTATCTATTTATATATATATATACACACACACACATACATACACCAAACAAGCACATGTACCTTTTGAATATAAAATAAAATAAAATAATAATATAAAATAAAATAAAAAATAAACCTAGAATTACTCTATGATCTAGAAATTTCACTTCTAGGTATGTGACTAAAGGTTTAGGTTATACAAGACGAATGAAGTTTGCAATGTACCCTACAACATTTTGTCTTTAGTTAACAATACTGCATCATGAAGTTAAAAATTGGTAGGAGAATTAACTCTTCCTACCACAATAAAAAAAAAGACTGATAGTAGATATTGTGAAAGGAAATTAAATTTTGGGACCCCACACTCATTTAGCTAAGGGGGAAAGTCAAGCTGGGGACTGGGTCACACAAACCTGCCTCTCCATTTTGGTTCGTGAATAAGATGGCTACAAGGTGAAAAGCTACATGCCTCCCCCACGTTTTGCCCACAAGAAGATTCCTAGTGAGCTGTTAAAATTTCACCATGGCAATGTAAATTGATAGCTTATCTTTCCAATGTATATTGATAGCTTATCTTTCCAGTGTATACTGATAGCTTATCTTTCCAGTGTATATTGATATCTTATCTTTCCAGTGTATGATAGCTTATCTTTCCAATGTATACTGATAGCTTATCTTTCCAGTGTATACTGATAGCTTATCTTTCCAGTGCATACTGATAGCTTATCTTTCCAGTGTATACTGATAGCTTATCTTTCCAGTGTATGTTGATAGCTTATCTTTCCAGTGTATATTGATAGCTTATCTTTCCAGTGTATATTGATAGCTTATCTTTCCAGTGTATATTGATAGCTTATCTTTCCAATGTATATTGATAGCTTATCTTTCCAGTGTATATTGATAGCTTATCTTTCCAGTGTATATTGATAGCTTATCTTTCCAATGCATATTGATAGCTTATCTTTCCAGTGTATATTGATAGCTTATCTTTCCAGTGTATATTGATAACTTATCTTTCCAGGTACAGTCTCCCCAGCCCATCAGACACAAATGCATATCTGATCATTCCCCCACCCAATTTTGTCTATGTTTATCTTATGTAAAATGCAGATTCACTGCATATTTTCCTCTGCCCCATTTGTTTTTGTCGTCTGATGTAAAAAGTGCAGATTCACTGAACCAGACAAAGGCATGAATGACTATTTTTAAAAAAAATACAGATTCACTGAGCTAGACAAAGGCATGCGTAACTATTTTTCCTTACCCTCCTCTTACATGAAAATTGTGTGCTTCTCAATATCCCGCCCTTTACCCTTTAAATTTGGATCCCTCAAAATCATCTTCAGAGAAAGGCATAGATCTGTCTCCCAGGCACATCTTTAACTTTGGCAAATAAATCTCCTGAAATGATAAGAGACTTATCTCATTGGACAATATCCAAACACTTGTGCCCAAGTGTTTATAGAAGCATTATTCACAATAAAAAGATAAAAGTATCACAAATGTCCACCAACCAACGTGTTGCATCCATATGTTAGAAATTTACTCATCCATAAAAATGAAGTACTGATGCATGCTGCAATTTGGAGATTCAAAATATGAAGCTAAGTGAAAGAAGCCAGATCCAAAGGTCACATACTATATGATTACATTTATATAAAATGTCCAGCAGCTGGAAATCCACAGAGACAGAAAGCAGATTGATGGTTGCCTGGGGCTGAGCAGGGGTAGGGAGAGGAGAGGGACTGCTCCGTGGAACGGGGTTCCTTTTGGGGTGATGAAAATCTTTGGGAACTAGAGGTGGCAGTTGCTGCAATGAAAATCTACTAAATGCCACAGAGTTGTATATATATATATATGTATTTTTTTTTTGAGACGGAGTTTCACTTTTATTGCCCAGGCTGGAGTGCAGTGGTGTATTCTCGCGTCTCTGCAACTTCCGCCTCTCAGTTTCAAGCGATTTTCCTGCCTCAGCCCCCCAAGTAGCTGGGATTGCAGGTGGCCACCACAACACCTGTCTAATTTTTCTGTATTTTTAGTAGAGACGGAGTTTCACCATGTTGGCCAGGCTGGTCTTGAACTCCTGACCTCAGGTGATCCACCCGCCTCGGCCCCCCAAAGTGCTGGGATTATAGGCGTGAGCCACTGCGCCCGGCCTAGAGTTGTATACTTTTAAAGGGTCAATTTTACATTATCTGTATTTTACTTCAGTGAATGGAAATTTAAGAAAAAAGAGCATGGTTCTATGCAGATTTCTTTTATCTTAAAAAGTTGCAACATGACCCAGTGTTTTTTTTTTTTTAATGTGAGGTAAGATTCCTAATAAGTGAGAGACGTCCTAAGTCCCACAGTGTTCAGACATGAAGCTGATCTTTTCACCTTACATCTTAAATTCTAATGTGGCTGAGTACAGAATTCGGGATGAGCTCCAGGATTCCTGCAGTCTGTAACTTTTTCTGACACTTTACCATTCCACCCGTGATGACGGATTGTTCCTGACTTACCTTTGGAACATAAAGGCTCTTACACCACGTGTCTGGATCTGGTAAAAGAGATTACACGAGATTGAGAGCCTTACATGTCTCAGGCAATACTCATCCTCAAACCAACCCTGAGATATGGGTCATTATCTTCTTCTATAAGGAGGAAAATGGGAAAGAGGTGTTACATGATCAAGGTCAACCATCAGTAAATTCCACCCTCATGTCTTACATTAACACCTGTTCATTTCCTCCGGGGATCACTCTTGCCCAAAGCATGGAGACAGAATCCATGGTATCAGCTGAGGGCTGTGAGCAGGGAAGAAAAGAGGTAGTAAGGAAGGAGAAATGACTCAGATGTTTTGACAGAGAGTGACCCTGTTTGCCCCAAGAACACTTGCGGGTTACAGTCCTAATCTTACCCCCAAAGTGTTCCCAGACCAAACTGAGGGTGGGGCTGCTATTTCTCATGGCCCAATAATGAGATGCGGATGAACTGGGGAGGGAGAGAGTTTTTATTTCTGTTACCGGTTACAGGGAGAAGGCCTGGAAAACATTGCCAGACCAACTCAAAATTACAAAGTTTCCCAGAGCTTATATACCTTCTAAGCTATTTATTAAAAAATGCAGCTATTTTCTAAGCTATCTTCTAAGCTAAGCTAAGAAGATAGCTAAGCTTCTTCTAAACTATCTAAGCTAGATAAGCTTCCAAACTATCTTCTAATAAGTTTAGAAGATTCTAAGCCATTAAGCTACCTAAGCTATAGTCTTCTAAGCTATCTTCTAATCTAAGCTTAGAAGCTTAGCTATCTAAACTAAGCTAAGATATTCTAAGCTTCTAATATCCATCTTTCACATCACCCATTTCCTGCATGGGATATGGCACGCCAGAGACCCAGGGGATGTTTTCTGCATGAATCTAGTAATAAACAAATACCTGCATCCCTCAGGGCTGATAAAGAGTCTATAAACCTCAGATGGAGAGTCTAGAATGTTAGAACATAAACCAGGGAATGTGTCAGATGCCTAAGAACCTTCACAGCAATTCTAGCAATTCTTCATAAAAGCAGCTGTCATTTACTGAGCATAGTTCATCAGGTTATCTCTAGGCATATAATGAAAATAATAATCATAGTAAAAAATAGCCCACATTATTGAATGACTGCTAAGAACATGGTAGAATTTCACTTTGTACATCACATGTATTAACTATGTAGTTCCCCACCAAAACCATGTAAGGTAGATACTAGCACTATACTAAGTTTATATATGACACAATAGCAATGTGGGTAACTTTCCCTAACTCACGAAGTTAAAAGGGGCAGAGCTGTGATCAAATCTCAGGCTTCCTGGCTCCAGAGTCTTCCCTGTTAGTTCAACTGATTGCTTCCTATGAGAGGTAGAATATAATAATCTCTGATTGTCAACCCACCAAATATCCTTACAAAGAAGACATTTTTATTATTGCAATTTTATAGAAAAGCAAAGTGAGCCTCAGAGAGGCAAAGTGACTTTCCCAAGGAGACAGAGATAGCAAGAGGCAGATGTAGGTTTTGAAAGTACTGTGATGTAACTCCAAGCCTGTTGCTTTTTTTTTTTTTTTTGAGACCGAGTCTTACTCTGTTGCCCAGGCTGGAGTGCAGTCACGTGATCTCAGCTCTCTGCAAGCTCTGCTTCCTGGGTTCATACCATTCTCCTGCCTCAGCCTCCCAAGTAGCTGGGACTACAGGCACCCGCCACCACGACTGGCTAATTTTCTTTTTTTTTTTTTTTTGTATTTTTGGTGGAGACAGGGTTTCACTATATTAGCCAGGATGGTCTCCATCTCCTGACCTCATGATCATCCCTCCTCAGCCTCCCAAAGTGCTGGGATTACAGGCGTCAGCCACTGTGTCTGGCCCCAAGCCTGTTGCTTTTTAGTCAATACCCTATAAACTGGTTTCCTGAACATGGTCTGGAAAGAGATGACCTGAGGTGGATGAGGAAGAGCCAACTCTAAATGCCACCCTGGGCCGTGCTAGTGGTTGTCCTGCTGGGTGAGCGGCTAACATCATAAGCTTCTGAATTCCATTCCTATTCAGAATCCATGGAGTGGATGTGTCTTTTTCCAATTTATTCTGATGCATTCGCTAAATATTTATTAGACACCTTCAGGGAATCTCTATTTAGGAGTCTCTAAGAGGGGGCCCAGCTCATACAAATGTATCAACTAACACACCAGAAAACAGTGGAAGCCTTGTTGCTTCCTGGACTCTGACCATGGTGCTGAAACTAGAGTTCATGGCAACATCCCAGTCAGTGCTGTGGACAGCGACCACAGGAGCCACTCTCCTGGGGCTGGGGCCTGATAGAGGAAATAGGAATGGTGTCTAGATACAGGGCCAGGTCTGTTGGAGACCTTGAATAGGAGCCAAAATTGAACAGGATGTGGGGAAGCTCAAGAGGTTGATGACGTCTAGCTGGACCATGGAATGTTGCTATCTAAATAGGCAATTATTTTTGTACTCTACACCAGGGTAGGCAGACAGGAAGCCAAGAGGGAAGCATCCTGGAACTTCCTTCGTCATACAGAATACTGAGTTTCCTTGGCTGCTCATGAGTGTATATTATGAGTGCAATAAAGTTTGAGTGCGATTATCCCTTAGACTAAAATCTGTTTTTGCAAGAGTTTTCTTCAGAGAAATGGAACCAATCAGATGTTTATTTATGTATATACCTATCCTCTGTCTATCTAGCTATCTGTTTATTTCTCTAGGAATGTGCATTATGAATACAATATGGCCCCTCTTACTGTGGGCCAACGTTTGTTCCATGTTTTAGCCAATGAACCAGACAAACTGTTAGAGCCATGTCTAGCTCACTGAGATGCAACATTAAATGCAGGATCTCTCCTTAGTAGGTCCATATCAATAACATTGGCCTGGCTCAACTTTATCTTCCTTTCACCATTATCCAACACCCTTAATGTCCATTCGCACACATGTTCCCTAGATTTCTAGGTGTATAAATCAGAAGAACTTAGTAGTCACTTTGGAGTGTAGCACATTTCCCCATGGATCACACATTGAACCTATGGCTTAGAAGCAAAGATGGGTAGTGGGGGCGGATCCTGAGGAAAATTAGCACTGTCTTGCATGGCAACTGCCTCCGCGGAGGCCACTATTGTTTCCTCAGACAGTGCAGGGTTAATCTCCTCAGATGCACGGGGAGAGAATGCTTCCATTGTCAAAGAGCATGATTAAGGAACTCACTGTCCTTACCTTCATCAGTGTCTTTCACACATCCCTATTCCAAATGTCAAGATTCCACACCTTCCGAATCAATACCCTTAAAGTAGACACCCTTTGAGGCTGGGAATTCCATTTGTATTGTAATTTAGCCACTTGAAGGGTGAGTTTCTGGGTTTGCTTTTTCTTTTTCTTTTTTTTTTTTTTTGAGACAGAGTCTTGCCCTTGTCCCCCAGGCTGGAATGCAATGGCACGATCTCGACTCACTGCAACCTCCACCTCCTGAGTTCAAGCAATTCTCCTGCCTCAGCCTCTTGAGTAGCTGGGATTACAGGCACCAGCCACCACACCTGGCTAATTTTTGTATTTCTAGTAGAGACGGGATTTCGCCAAGTTGGCCAGACTGGTCACGAACTCCTGACCTCACATGATCTGCCCACCTCGGCCTCCCGAAGTGCTAGGATTACAGGCGTGAGCCACCGCACCTGGCCCCAGGTTTGACTTTTCAAAGGCCTCAGCCCTGTGGCTACAAATGATGAGTATCTTTTAGGGCAGATATAGAAGTCTTAGCTCATTTATGTTTGCACTTGAACTGAAAATTCAAATCTTTGAATTCATCCTCTTCTTTCCCCAACTTTGTCCAGTGACAACCCAGCCAATCTCATTATGCTCATTAGTTTTCAAAAACATTCAAAAGTATTATGTACATGATCACTCAGATTCTTTTTTTTTTTTTTGAGACGGAGTCTTGCTCTGTCGCCCAGGCTGGAGTGCAGTGGCATGGTCTCCGCTCACTGCAAGCTCCGCCTCCCAGGTTCATGCCATTCTCCTGCCTCAGCCTCCCAAGTAGCTGGGACTACAGGCGCCCACCACCACACCTGGCTAATTTTTTAGTATTTTTTTTTTTTTTAGGAAAGATGGGGTTTCACCGTGCTAGCTAGGATGGTCTCGATCTCCTGACCTCGTGATCCACCCGCCTCGGCGTCCCAAAGTGCTGGGATTACAGGGGTGAGCCACCGCACCCGGCCCACTCAGATTCTTATAAATGTTTGTTAGGCGTTTCCAATGATGACATTTGGTGTATCCCTATGGCCACATCATGTTATGCACTATCAACACTACTGGAAATGGAGTCATTAGTGTTTTTAAATCTAATCAAATTAGAAAGCCGATTTCAGAAACTTTGGATCCAATTCAGAAAACTCATCCTTAAAAATTCTGTTCCTTTGGAATCATCCCTGGAACCAAAATGATTTTTTTTTCAAGGGTTCTCCAGAGAAATTGAACCAGCAGAATGTTTATTTATGTGTCTATCTGTGTATCTATGTATCTATCTATGTATCTATCCATGTATCTATGTATCTATCTATTTATCTATCTATCTATTTATTTGTTTATCTATTCATTTACCTAGGAATTGGCTCATGTGATTGTAGGAGCTTGGTGAGTCCAAAATCTGCAGGACAGTAGAGTATCCTGGAGACTCAGGAAAGAGTTGTAGCAAACTAAAAAATCCAAAGACAATCTGCTGGAAGAATTTCTTCTTGCTCAGGGGAGCTCTCTGCTATTACTTTATTGTTATTTTGCTCACAAGACATGTATCATCCTATAACATATTGGATTTTCTATTAATTTTTGTTGTTGTCTAATATCCATCTTTCTCAACTATAATATTGATTCAATACAGACACTTTTTTAGAAGTCTTTCTGTCTTTTTTCTGATACATCTTATACACCAAGAATCACGTTTGACCCATTAGATACTTAATGTGTGCCCATGAAAACAGTGAATAAAAGTGTCTCCACTTCTTCCAAGTTTATTTTTAACACTGGAGCAAATGATTTCTACTTGATTCTCTCTTTTTTTCTCCCTTCCAGGCTGCCTTTAGTGCAAAGTCCTCAGAATGGAAAAATATTCTTGGGGGAGGCAAAACCTTAAGGTTGGCAAGAAACAAACCCCAGCCTTATCCTTACTTTCCTTCTCTCAGTTAGATCTCAATGTCCTTGGCTGCAATGCCGTCTCTACCTAGTCTACTTCAAGCTTCCCAGATATGATTTCCTCTCTAAGTTTCTCTGTCTCTTCCTGTCTCTGTCTCTCTATTGTTCTGTTTCTTTCCATCTCTCTCTTTCTTGCTCCAACTTTCTCAGTCGACTAAAACTAATAGCTACGAATAGCTTTCAGTAATTTGAACATTTCACGGATGTTTTTCTAGATCAACTGAAATCCCTATGCAAACACTGTCACTGTACTTGCAGATGAAATGATAATCACTTCCCGGCAAGAAAAGGATCTCATGGTAGTCTTAAGCCTTTATCTCAGGGTTAAGATGCCCCCTTTTGTGGAGGTGCTTAGACTGTGACTATGGCAGTTGCTTTCCCAGCAAGAAACTGCATTTGGTAAGTGGACCTTCTTTCAGTTAGAGAGCCATATTCTTAGAGATGTAGAATATTTGTTGCAACATATATGTGTGTGTATATATATATATATATATATATATATATATATATATATATATATATATATATATATATGGTGTAAACATCCCGGTCTATTTCCCCTAAGGTCAAAACTGAACATGGAAAAGAAACATGGGGCAGGGGTATTTTCTGAGAGTTCCTGAGACACAGAACCACCCCAGCCTTCCCACTCAGGGCTGCCTGGCATCTCCTGTTTACCTTCTCTGTCATAGCCCCATCTGAAAGACTCTGTCTGAATAAATATACCAAACCTCATAGTCTTAGCTCTCCTCTTTGTACGAGGGGTAAGAGTGTGTTCAGGTCTTGGCTCCTGTTCACACACCTGTTGTCTAATGGCAACTGGTACTTAGGACATTTGAAATATCTCTGGTGGCTGCATGCTGCACTTTGGTTGGCAATGGCTGTACGTCTCTGAAAACCTTCTGTGATGATTGCAAAACGGTACACTTTCATCTCCTTTCTTATGGGTTCCGGGGAGCCGAATGCACTTGATTTCACCAGTAATATATGTCTATAGACAATTTCTCAGATCGGCGTGAAGAAGGTAAATTATATCTTTCATTTAGAAAAATATAAATCTCACTTTTACAAAACGTGACTAAGAATTGTCAAGGCTTAGAGAGCAGGAATAATCAGGGACTATATGGGTGTTCATGTCTAATAAATGCAACTCTGATCCTTAACCGTATTTAAAAGCGCTTTCAGAGTTCCGAAACCTTTTCATCTGCTCCAGATTCACTGGGTTCTGAAGCCAAAGCTTTCTGAAACTGTTCCTCCTCTCAGCCCCTAAGTGGTGAACGCTTGGTCTGTTCTGACAGCTGAGATCCTAGCCACGGGAGCGTGAGGTGAGGAATTTCCTGTCACCATCCCAGAAAGTAAAATATAGCCTCATTATTTCCTAATTGTGTTTCCATAAGAAAAACAAAGAATTCGATAAAAGAAACAAAGACCAGTATTTACTTTTTCATAAATGATTGTAGTTACTGAAGGACATATGGGGCCCGTAATCACAACGGGTCTAGGACTCACAGGTATTTTCTCGTCTCCATTATTTACCATAATTGTGTCATTCTCACTCCTGCTTACATGATTTATTTGGTATAATTTAAATGTATTTGTATGTTTTCTCTATGACTTAATGGGCAACATGCCCCTTTCTCTAACTTGTGTTTGTTGGTTTGTTGATCTCTGATACAAATTTGCTAAATATATTCTAGTTGTTGTTATAAAATATTTTCTTTCCAAGAAAATTTTTCAACAGGTTCATGTGCACACCATATATGAAATTCATATTCTTTTCTTATTCTCTTATTTTTCTCCCCATCCTCTACAACACTTGGGCCAAACTGTTATGGATTATTGTGTATCCACCAAGAAATGGCTTTGAGTTTTTAAAGTATCTATTTCTCTGAACTAATCTGTAATTTCCAAGAATCTAATATTTCTCAATTTTTAACACCAATTATTTTACTTTGTAATTTAACAACTTGTTAATTATTAAACAAGTAAAAAATGCAAAAATAAAAACTATGTTTTGATAGTTTCTAATTTATATTCTTTGGAAAATGTCTAAATTTTAGGAAATTAAAATTTTTTTCGAATTGAATGTGGCTAGAAATAATAATTTTTCACTGCATGGCATTACGTAAGTGTAATAGAATTCTACTCTCATCCTACTTTAGATAATGCCAAACTGAGAAACCATTATTAATTTATTTTGTTTTTGTCTAGACATGAAAATGAAAAGTTGCCATCAGAAGAATCATTATGGAAAGTGAAAATATGGTGCTAAATTAAATATGTGGCAAATAAATGTGTTTTTTTAACTTTTAGGTTCAGAGGTACATGTGCAGGTTTGTTATATAAGTAAATTGTGTGTTACAAGGGTTTGAAGTACACATTATTTTGTTATCCAGGTGATAAGCATAGTACCAAATAGGTAGTTTTTCTGTCCTCACCCTCCCCACTTCCTCAACCCTCAAGGAGGTCCCCCTGTGTGTGATTACCAAGGAGGCCCCACTGTGTGTTATTACCTCCTATGTGTCCATTATGTATTCAGTATTTACTTCCAACTTATAAGTGACAACATATAGTATTCAGCTTTCTTTTTCTGTGTCAGTTCTCTTAGAATAATGACCACCAGGTCCATTAATGTGGCTGAAAATGACAGTATCTTATTCTTTGTTTTGAGGCAGAATCTGTCTGTCACCCAGGCTGGAGTGCAGTGGCACTATCTCAGCTCACTGCAGCCCCCGCCTCCCAGGATCAAGCAATTCTTGTGCCTCAGCCTGCCGAGTAAATGGGATTACAGGTATGCACCACCACACCCAGCTAGTCTTGTTTTGTTTTGTCTTGTTTTTTGAGATGGAGTCTCGCTGTGTCGCCAGGCTGGAGTGGAGTGGCGTGATCTCGGCTCACTGCATCCTCTGCCTCCCGGATTCAAGCGATTCTCCTGCCTCAGCCTCCTGAGTAGCTGGGACTACCAGGTGCACACCACCATGCCCAGCTAATTTTTGTATTTTTAGTAGAGACGGGGTTTCACCATGTTGGCCAGGATGGTCCCAATCTCTTGACCTTGTGATCCGCCCACTTCAGCCTCCCAAAGTGCTGGGATTACAGGCATGAGCCACTGCATCTGGCCAGTTTTTGTATTTTTTTTTTTTAGTAGAGATGAAGTTTTGCCATGTTGGCCAGGCTGGTCTCAAACTCCTGTCCTCAAGTTATCCACCCGCCTCGGCCTTTCAAAGTGCTGGGATTACAGGTGTGATATATATGATATATATGTGTCCTCATGGACACAGAGAGGGAACTTCACACACCAGGGCCTGTCAGGGGGTTGGGTAGGGGGGTAGGGGAGGGATAGCATTAGGAGAAATACCTAATGTAGACGACGGGTTGATGGGTGCAGCAAATTGCCATGGCACTTGTATACCTATGTAACAAACCTGCACGTTCTGCACATGTATCCCAGAACTTACAGTATAATAATAATAATAATAATAAAAAGAGTGGTCTCTGGGCTATAAGTTCCCTGCAGAGGATTGCATCATCTATTTTGTCACTGCCCCCACCCTAATGTTTGTAGGCTCATATATTATGCCAGTTAATATGCAAAGACTTAGGGATTCAGTACTGAATAAAAATGAGAATGGCCATGGCCTCATATTGCTTATGAGACTGCCAAAACCGAACGTGGTGTACATAATTACCCAGATGTATGGTGACTTCTTAAAAAATGAAGCATAGCCTTGCCATGTAATCTTGCCATTTTACTTCTGTGTATATATCCAGGGGAAGTCAAAGCAAATACTTGAGCAGATATTTATACCTCCATGTGCACAGCAGCATTACTTACAACAAACAAAAAGAATAAACCACCCAATGTTCATAGATGGATGAGTGGAGACATAAACTGTAGTGTAGACATACAGTAGAGTATGTATGTCTTACAAGGAATGAAATCATGATTGCCACATTCTACAACACGGGTGAAACTTGAAGATGTTATGCAGACTGAAATCAGGCAATCACAAAAAGACAAGTATTGTATGATTCTATTTATATGAAGTGCATAGAATAGGCAAACCCATAGAGACAGAAAGTAGAATATTGGCTTCCAGGGGCTGGGGTTGGGGGAGAGAAAATGGGAATTGGTATTTAATGCATACAGATTTTCAGTTTAGGATCATGAAAAAGATCTGGAGATGGATGGGGATGATGGTTGCGCAACGGTGTGGATGTACTTCAGCAAGGTGCTGTGGCTCACGCCTGTGTGTCTGCGTGCTAGGGTCTCGGGGGTTTTATAGGCACAGGATGGGGGCGTGGCAGGCCAGGGTGGTCTTGGGAAATGCAACATTTGGGCAGGAAGTGCCCGTCCTCACCTAGGTCTGTGAGGGTGGAGCCCTAGCCAGGGACCACGCCCTCCTCTGCCCAGCACTTCCCTTCCCTCTTCTGTATTATTTAAAGGGACTACACCCTTCCCTTCCCAGCACTTCTTTATCACCACTTAGAAAGGCCATTATCAAAAAGACAAAAAATAACAAGTGGTGGCTAGGATGCAGAGAAAAGGGGACTCTTGTGCACTGTTGAAGGCAACAAGAAGGAGTGTGGTCATTACAGGAAACAGTACATAGGTTCCTCATAAAACTAAAAAGAGAACCACCCTATGACCCAGCCAGCCCAGTTCTGGGTATAGATCGAAAGGAAAGGCAATCAGTATATTGAAAGGATAGCTTCACCCTGGTGTTTACTGCAGCACTATTCACAATAACCAAGATTTGGAAGCAACCTAAGTGTTTATGTACAGATGAATGGATAAGGAAAATGTGGTACATTTACACAATGGAATATTACCCAGTCGTTAAAAAGAATGAAATCCTGTCATTTGTGGCAACACGGATGAGCCTGGAGGAAATAAGTGAGATAAGCCAGGCATAGAAAGACAAAGGTAGCGTGTTCTTACTCATGTGTGGGAGTTAAAACAGTTGATCTCAGAAGCAGAGAGCAGAGTCGTGGTAACTAGAGGCTGGGAAGGGTGGGAAGAGGGGAGAGGGAAATGCTGGTTAAAGGATACAGAATTACAGCTAGATGGAGGAAATAATAAGTTCTGGTATCCTACAGCACTGTAGGGTGACTATAGTTAACAATAGTTTACTGTACAGCTAGATGGAGGAAATAAGTTCTGGTATCCTATAGCACTGTAGGGTGACTATAGTTAACAATAGTTTACTGTACAGCTAGATGGAGGAAATAATAAGTTCTGGTATCCTACAGCACCGTAGGGTGACTATAGTTAACAATAGTTTACTGTACAGCTAGATGGAGGAAATAAGTTCTGGCATCCTATAGCACTGTAGGGTGACTATAGTTAACAATAGTTTACTGTACAGCTAGATGGAGGAAATAAGTTCTGGTACCCTACAGCACTGTAGGGTGACTATAGTTAACAATAGTTTACTGTACAGCTAGATGGAGGAAATAAGTTCTGGTATCCTACAGCACTGTAGGGTGACTATAGTTAACAATAGTTTACTGTACAGCTAGATGGAGGAAATAAGTTCTGGTATCCTATAGCACTGTAGGGTGACTATAGTTAACAATAGTTTACTGTACAGCTAGATGGAGGAAATAATAAGTTCTGGTATCCTACAGCACTGTAGGGTGACTATAGTTAACAATAGTTTACTGTACAGCTAGATGGAGGAAATAAGTTCTGGTATCCTACAGCACTGTAGGGTGACTATAGTTAACAATAGTTTACTGTATATTTTCTTTTTTAGATGTTTTTATTATACTTTAAGTTCTAGCGTATCCTAGAAGCTTTATTCAGTACTGAATCCCAAAGTCTTTGCATATTAACTGGCATAATATATGAGCCTACAAACATTAGGGTGGGGGACAGTGAAAAAATAAATGATGCAACCCTCTGCAGGGAACTTATAGCCCAGAGACCACTCTTTTTTTATTATTATTATACTTTACGTTCTGGGGTACACGTGCAGAACGTGCAGGCTTGTTACATAGGTATACATGTGCCATGTTGGCTTGCTGCACCCATCGACTCGTCATTTACATTAGGTATTTCTCCTAATGCTATCCCTCCCCCAGCCCCCCAGCCCCAGACAGTCCCCAGTGAGTGATGTTCCCCGCCCTGTGTCCAGGTGTTCTCATTGTTCAATTCCCACCTATGAGTGAGAACATGCGGTGTTTGGTTTTCTGTCCTTGTGATAGTGTACTGAGAATGATGGTTTCCAGCTTCATCCATGTCCCTGCAAGGGACATAAACTCATCCTTTTTTATAGCTGCATAGTATTCCATGGTGTATATGTGCCACATTTTCTTAATCCAGTCTATCATTGATGGACATTTGGGTTGGTTCCAAGTCTTTGCTATTGTGAATAGTGCCACAGTAAACATACGTGTGCATGTATCTTTATAATAGCATGATATATAATTCTTTGGGTATATACCCAGTAATGGGATTACTGGGTCAAATGGTATTTCTAGTCCTAGATCCTTGAGGAATCGCCACACTGTCTTCCATAATGGTTGAACTAATTTACACTCCCACCAACAGTGTAAAAGATTTCCTGTTTCTCCACATCTTCTCCAGCATCTGTTGTTTCCTGACTTTTTAATGATTGCCATTCTAACTGGTGTGAGATGGTATCTCATAGTGGTTTTGAGTTTATTGTATGTTTTCAAAGAGCTAGAACTCCTGGGCTCAAGTGATCCACCTGCCTTGGCCTCCCAGAGTGCTGGGATTAAGTGCGTCTTTATTATAACTTATAATTGACACATAATAATTGTATATATTTGTAGGGTATAGAGTTGATATTTCAACACATATATATAATGTGTAATGGTTAAATAAGAGTAATGAACATATCCGCCATTTCAAACATTTATCGTTTCTTTGTGTTGAAAACATTCAAAATCCTCTCTTCTAGCTATCTGAAAATATACAATAAACTCTTAATGAGTCAATAGGTTGTCGTTGGTGGCACTTCTTGTGGTTATAGGGATTACTCTTTGCTGTCCGTGTTTGTTGAATGGTTCATTTCTTACACACCTAATTATCCATGGAAGGTAGTTCTTAGTGCTCTCCTGGGGGTCAGACTGAAAAAGAGGGGATTGTTCCAGCTATCCCTGCTGCATGATCTCAACTCCTCCAAACATATCATCTGCTTAGGGTTTTGCCCAGCACAGGAGGGTCTAGTGTGAACCTCACACTCACACGTGGGACAGACACCCATATCTGACAATGTCGCGGTGAATCTGTTTCACACAAACAAGGGAGATGATTCAGTGTGGACCACGGGCCCATGTCAATGAGCAGAGATATTTCCAGCGCCTGTCCACACACACAGGGGAGGAGGAACCACAGCTTCCAGCCTCACCCAAAGCCCTGACTCCTCCCTGCCTGTGAGGACCTGGGGTTCCTCTTCTGTCCCACACACAGAGGTGGAAATCTCCCCCACTAATGAGCCCTGGGTGGTCCCAGGCACCAGTGGTCCCTCAGCTCTGGTCTATGATCTGTCTTACGGCACCCTGTCTATTTCAGGAATTTGTTATTTAACTTTTTCTACATTAAGACCATGACTACAGGATTCAGAAATATCGTAACTAGGTTTCTCAGTGTTCAAAGTTGACGTCGGCTCTTCATGGGGGCATCAATCATCGTCCTCCACTGTGGAGCCCAACATCAGGATCCTCTCCCATCCCCACCCTCCTGTCTTAACTGGTCTAGAAATTAACCATGGCTGAGCCCCTCCCATGTCCTGGGCACCACTGACCCCCATAGCCACTGTGATGAGTGGGGATCATGACAACAGGCTCCAAACGTGGAAATTGAGGCTCAGGGATGGGATATTACTTCCCAAGGTCACACAGGCAGGGGATGATAATCAGGAATTAAATAAAAGTCACCTCCCAACCCAATGTCCGAAATCAGAGCTCAAACCTAACGTAATTGCTCCAAAAACCTTAAACGTGGATTAAGGCACAGAGGAAGGCCCAGGAAGTGAGGGGCACTGAGAAGGCAGGAATGACTTAGAGGTTTGTTCTCAGGGGTGGGGGGTGGATGCTGCTGCAAAAAGAAAGGAAGGAAAGACAGAGGGAAGGAAGGAGGGAGAGAGGGAGGGAGGAAGAGGACGGAAGGAAGGAAGGAAAAAAATAGGAAGTTTGGTAGAAAGGAAGAGACTGTTCTTGAAGGGACAAGAAAGGGACTGTTTGGCAGAAAGGAAACACACACTCCAGGGACAGAAAAACATATGTTTTATTCTCTTTATTCCCTGCATCTCTCTTGTGTTCTCACTGCCACATGCAGCTCAGCCTCGGCTGCACAGCCAGGTGTCAGGTGCGTCTCTGCTGATCTGAGTCTGCCTGCAGCATGGACCTGGGTCTTCCCTGAAGCATCTCCAGGGCTGGAGAATCACTGACCATGGTAAGGACCCCGCAACGCTGAGCTGATGGATGGGCTGAAGGAGGGAGGGAGACCCCATGGGGAGGCTCTGAGCGGGAGGAGGTCACCCTCGCCTGAAAGGGGCTGACTCCGGAAGGCATCAGGTCTAATGGCTGTTGTGTCCCGGCTCTCGGTAAGATAAAGACAGATCAGGCAGACAGTGGCCTGGGGGCAGGGAGACCCCATTTCTCTCTGAAATGTCTGCAGAGAGCCTGGTGCCCACCCCCATCTCAGCCCTGGGGAAATGAGAGCCAGCCTCCTGGGGAGGGCAGTTTCCGTTCCTGTGGGCTGCGGATGAGATAACCCCATGACAAGAAGGACCCAGCCTCTGAGGGGCCACACCCTGTGTGTCTCTCTGTCCTGCCAGCACCAACGGCTCATCCATTTGCAAAGCTGAAAGGAGGCAGAGGAGACGCCATGACCGCCGCCCTCACAGCCTTGCTTTGCTTTGCTTTGGTGAGATTTGAAGAGGAGAGAGGAAACCCCACAGGCCCTGGTCCATCAAGAGATCCCAGGGCTTTAGGGAGCTCCCAGGCAGGGGAGGACTTGCTCAGGCTTCAGGGGGCAAATCCCTCACAGGGAATTCTCTTCCAGGGCTGAGTCTGGGCCCCAGGACCCGCATGCAGGCAGGTGAGTCTGTCCCCAGCTCTCCCAGGTCCCTCCTCCTCACCCTGGACAGTTGGGGATGGAGACAGCAGTTCTGGGCAGGCAGCTGGGATGATCTGAGGGGTGGGGAAGGTCTTGGGATCCAGGCTTTGATTTCCTTCCATGTACTCTCCCCAAGCCCACCCTCTGGGCTAAGCCAGGCTCTGTGATCAGCTGGAGAAGCCCCATGACCATGTGGTGTCAGGGGACCCTGGAAGCCCAGGAGTACCATCTGTATAAAGAGGGAAGCACAGAGCCCTGGGACAGAACGAATCCACTGGAGACCAGGAACAAGGCCAGATACTCCATCCCATCCATGACACAGCACCATGCAGTGAGATATCAGTGTTACTATCTCAGCCCTGCAGGCTGGTCAGAGCCCAGTGACCCCCTGGAGCTGGTGATGACAGGTGAGAGGACACTCAGGGGTCCCAGCCCCAGGCTCTGCCCTCAGGAAGGGGGTTGGCTCTCAGGGGTGTCTCCCTCTCACAGCCCAGCCCTGGGGATGATGTGGGAGGTGGGAGCCCCATTTAACATGGTGCCTCCTTCTCTCCTAGGATTCTACAGCAAACCCACCCTCTCAGCCCTGCCCAGCCCTGTGGTGGCCTCAGGGGGGAAAGTGACCCTCCGATGTGGCTCACAGAAGGGATATCACCATTTTGTTCTGATGAAGGAAGGAGAACACCAGCTCCCCCGGACCCTGGACTCACAGCAGCTCCACAGTGGGGGGTTCCAGGCCCTGTTCCCTGTGGGCCCCGTGACCCCCAGCCACAGGTGGAGGTTCACATGCTATTACTATTATATGAACACCCCCCAGGTGTGGTCCCACCCCAGTGACCCCCTGGAGATTCTGCCCTCAGGTGAGGGAGCCACGGCCTTCTCTAACACACTTTCCGGACAGCTGACAGGTTGTGGGGAGTTTGGCTGGTGACTGAATCTGGAAAGGACCCAGAGTGATGTGTTGATGGATGGGCTGAAGGCATGAGGGAGACCCCATGGGGAGGCTCTGACATGGGAGGACAGAGCTCTCCCCCTGTCCTGGCCCCTGGAGAGACCCTGACCCTCCAGTGTGGCTCTGATGTCGGCTACGACAGATTCACTCTGTACAAGGAGGGGGAATGTGACTTCCTCCAGCGCCCTGGCCAGCAGCCCCAGGCTGGGCTCTCCCAGGCCAACTTCACCCTGGGCCCTGTGAGGGGCTCCCACGGGGGCCAGTACAGATGCTCCGGTGCACACAACCTCTCCTCCGAGTGGTCGGCCCCCAGTGACCCCCTGGACATCCTGATCGCAGGTGAGGAGCCCAGCGGGTTCAGTCAGGGACCCGGGCTCGGCACAGGCATTGCCGGGGGAGCCCAGGTGGTGATGGCCGGGATGAGGGGTGGGGGTCCCAAGGGAGGGAGAGACAGACAGAGACAGGGGATGGGGGGAGGGGAAGACTCAGAAAACAGACACAGAGACTGAGGGTCCCAGGGAGAGGTCTGGGGAGGTCTCAGCTCAGAACAAGGTGGGGCAGCCCCTCACCCATCTGTCTTCTGTCCAGGACAGATCCCTGGCAGACCCTCCCTCTCGGTGCAGTTGTGGCCCACAGTGGCCTCAGGAGAGAACGTGACCCTGCTGTGTCAATCACAAGAGTGGATGCACACTTTCCTTCTGACCAAGGAGGGGGCAGCCCATCCCCTGCTGTGTCTGAGATCAAAGTACGGAGCTCATAAGTACCAGGCTGAATTCCCCATGAGTCCTGTGACCTCAGCCCACACGGGGACCTACAGGTGCTACGGCTCACTCAGCTCCGACCCCTACCTGCTGTCTCACCCCAGTGGCCCCGTGGAGCTCGTGGTCTCAGGTGAGGGCGCTGACCCTGTCCTCTCTGAGCTCAAAGGCTCAGCTCAGGCCCTGCCCCCAGCAGAGCTCTGGACACTAAGGAAAGAGGGGAGTGAAGGGAGAGGGTCCGCAGGGGAGGGTCCAGCCCATGGGAAGATGGAAATAGACAGGGACCTCCCACCCCTGGCTCCCACCCCTGAAGTCTCAGTAGAGTAAAGTGCAGGGAGGGCTGGGAGGAGACGGGGGGTGAACCTCAAAGGAGTTGAGATTAGACTGAGGGTGGAAGACGGAGGCCCCACCTGCTCCCATCCTGGTGTCTCCACCTCAGAATCAGAGCCTCTGTGTCCCAGTCCCCAACAGACGCCCTCCTGGAGAGAGAAGCATCCAGGCTGCCGGTGCCACCTGCATCCACCCCCGACCCCCCCCCACCCCGCCCCACTTCCTGCTTTCCCCTGCAGCCTCCCCAGCACTCAGCGCACACCTGAGCCTCACAGGGACTTGCACGTGCTCCCGCAGCAGCTCAGGGAATGTGCACCGCTCCTCTTCTGCGCCGTTGACATTTTTTATTTGGGTTTTTAAAATCTCATATTGGCCTTTTTGTCCAAGCTGGTGAAAGTAGATTTGCAGCATCACCTATTTTTATTCTCACCCGGTTTCGTAATAGCCCTGATCTCATGTGCTCCCTGAGGTTTTGTAAACTTCAGGTAGAAATGTGGACTTCCTTCGTTCTGGACATTTGCTATGGAGGGGGTAGGGCTTATCTTTTCAGAAAACGTCAAATGACTGGTACCACTCCTTGAAACCCTACAGCACTTTCCAGACCTCAGAGGGAGGGAGAGAGAGGCAGAGACAGAGACAGAGAGACAGAGAGAGAGATATTGGGGCCGCTCTTTCCTGGCTGGTTCATCCTGGCCTATTCTCAATCCACCAAGGCCCCGAAGCTCATCTCCCCTCCTCCTCTGCCTCCTCCTCCACCCTGTAGACAAGCGGCCATTCCTTTCTGAAGAACAGGCTGAGACCTTTCTGGGACCTGCTCTTTCTGGAGCCTCTGTTGCTCCCTGTCTGGGTCTCCACACGCCTCCTTCCTGGCCCTTTTTCCTATTGAGGAATCAGCTTCAATGTCACCTCCAAGTGTGACCTTCACTGACGACACAGCTCAGCCCAGTCCTGCCTGCTTCTCATTTATGTCAAGTAATTAACCAACCTACACCATGCGGCTGAATTCCTTCTCTCTCTCTTCCACTCTCTGCACATACGTGTGTGTGTGTGTGTGCGCGTGTGTGGTCACACCGACATCTTACGTGACATTGAAACCTAGTTATCCGTATATCTATACAAATAATATATATTCACACATAAATATAGGTCTCTACCAATATATCTAAAACCATTGCTACGACTAGTAAATTTCCACTGCTGTGTTTCTATATGTTTGCTGTTTGTCTCCAGGTGAACCCACACTTCAAGAAGGCAGAGATAGTTTTTAAGGCCCACTATATATATAAAACAGATATATATTTGTGTTTGTGTTTTTCTGTGTGTGTATCACATTCTACCTGTTGCTGCCTATACGAATAATTAGCTACCTAGAGATTAAATGGACGATGAAACTCCAGGTGAAGTGGCTGAGGGCATGAAGGGGAGGCAGCCCCAGACTTTCACCCCTTTGTGCTTCTGACATTGAGGCTCCCCTGATGACTAACCCTCATCCACGGAGCCTGGGTCCTCAGCTGGTGGATCCGTGAAACTCTCATCTCCGGGGGAGTTGGCTCATGTTCTCCTGTGTCCCAGGCTGCACAGAGAGCACACAGGCCTCAGTGACCTCTGTACTGGGGACCACTTTCCTTGCAGATCCTGAGCTCTCAGGATGCAGGAAAACTCTCTCCCAGATGACTCAGGAGCAATGTTTAAATCCATAGAACACAGGAAAACTGAAATCGTTCAATGAGGAGACTAGAGGGAATCCTGCTAGCGGAGGAAGAGGTTTTTTTTTTTTTTTTAGAAATTCTGTAAAAGTCACATCATGAGACATTAAGTAATAAAAAAAAAATTGCAGAGCCCAGGTGAGAGGCTGGGCTCAGGTCTCTTTTTCTCTGTTTTGATTCTCTGGAGCAGCTGATACCCTCAGCCCATCACAAAACAAGTCTGACTCTGAGACTGGTATGTGAGGAGATACTCTCAGTGATGGGGCTGGCACTGAGGGTTGGGTCCTGTGAAGGGGAGGTGGGTGCCCTGGGTGGACAATCTGATCCACCCTGACCTCTGTGACCTCTTTGTCCACCATCCCCAGCCTCACACCTTCAGGATTACGCAGTGGAGAATCTCATCCACATGGGCGTGGCTGGCTTGATCCTGGTGGTCCTCGGGATTCTGTCATTTGAGGCTTGGCACAGCCAGAGAAGCTTCCCAAGATGCAGCCGGGAGGTGAACAGCAGAGAGGATAATGTACTTTATAGAGTCGTGAAGCCTCAGGAACAGATCTGATGATCCCAGGAGGTTCTGGAAGAAAATCTAGGGCCGATGCTATCTGGACTGTCTGCTGGTCATTTCCAGAGGAAGGAATCAATGTCCGAGTGCAGGGACATTTTCTGGGGTGATCCATGGAGAACCATTAAAATGTGATACCTTTCCTCTCCATTAATGTTGACTTTCCTTGGTTGGATCTGCCTCTTTTCCCACACTTAGACATGAGGCTCCATCCCACATGGCAGCGTTGGGTCCACACCTCTGCACACCTGCATGCTCTGGTCCATGGCGTGTCACACAGTCCTCTTCATTTCTCATTGCCACACTTCCTGGTGTACTTTACTGGGTCTTCATGTCTTCAGTTCAGAGTTCCGCACCTGGTTTAGGAACTAATTCAACGGGAGAAGATCAGAGTCCGACCAGGAAAAGATAAATGCACCGTGATGCCCTCACCTCCTGTGTGGACCCTATGAGCTCTTCCCTCCTTATCAGATGCTATCTGTGTAGTTTCTCCTGAAATATCACCACCTGGAATCAACACACTGGCATTTGAAGTCACGACCCAATGGTATGCTAATTCTGAAAAAGACATTTTTTGAAATGCTATGATTAGTGGCATTTACCAATTTCCTTGACGTAAATTCTTTTTTCATGGCCATAATCAAGATGCCAACGAGACATCCCTGAATGCAGGGTTGGGAAGCGTTGGACAGACTTGTCTTCACTCATAAGCACCAGGCATCTGATAGCTCACGTATACATCTTATTACCTTCCATTTTAGAGTGAATAATCATTTCTACTTCAGTATTTTGGCACAGGTAAAAGCAGTCCCATTACTGCGCGTATACCCAAAGGAATATAAATCATTCTATTGCAAAGATACATGCACACATGTGTTCATCGCAGCACTATTCACAATAGCAAAGACATAGAATCAACCCAAATGCCCATCAATGATAGACTGGATAAAGAAAATGTGAGACATATACACCACGGAATACTATGAAGCCATAAAAAGAAACAAGATCATGTCCTTTGCAGGGACATGGATGGAGCTGGAAACCATTATCCTCAGGAAACTAACACAGGAACAGGAAATCAAACGCTGCATGTTCTCACTTACAAGTGGGTGCTGAACAATGAGAATGCGTGAACACAGGGAGGGGAACAACACACACTGGGGCCTGTCGGGGGGGGGTGGGGTAGGGGTAGGGAGAGCATTAGGAAAAATAGCTAATGTATGCTGGGCTTAATACCTAGGTGATGGGTTGACAGGTGCAGGAAACCACCATGGCGCACATTGACCTATGCAATAAGCCCACACATTCTGCACATGTACCCCGGAACTTAAAATAAAAATAAAAATTAAAATTAAATTATGACACCATGATCCTAGCATATCCAAAAAAGACAAAAATGCCAATATCAAATGTCGGAGAAAATAGGGCTGAATTAAAAATCCAATACAACGCCGGGCGCAGTGGCTCACGCCTGTAATCCCAGCACTTTGGGAGGCCAAAGTGGGTGGATCACTTGAAGTCAGGAGTTTGAGACCAGCCTGGCCAAACGTGGTGAAACCCTGCCTCTACTAAAAATACAAAAATTAGCCGGGTGTGGTGGCACTCACCTGTAGTCCTAGCTACTAGGGAGGCTGAGGCAGGAGAATCACTTGAACCCGGGAGGCGGAGGTTGCAATGAGCTGAGATCATGCCACTGAACTCCAGCCTGGGTGACAGAGCGAGACTCCGTCTCAAAAAAAAAAAAAAAAAAAAAAAACCCTCAAAAGCTCAGGCAGCAAAAGCAAAAATAGGCAAATGAGATCATAGCAAACTGCAAACCTTCTGCACAATCAAGGAAACAAACAGCAGAGTGAAGAGACCACCTACAGAATGGGAAAGAATATTTGCAAGCAAGAGATTAATCTCCAGAAAATACAAGGAGCTCAAACAATGCAGAGGTTTTGAAGGATGGTGATGAGAAGGTTCTGCTACTTACAGAAAGGAAGTTTAGGAGAAACAAAACCACAAACCTAGGTGGTGGGATGGCTTGATCTGCTTCTGTCTGTGACTCAGTTAACAGTCTTAAACACATCTCCCTAAGCCTCCTTCCCCCGGTGGGATTCCTGGGTCTTGTGAGGACCTCATCGGTCCCTCTGGTAAACCCAGGCACAGAGTGGAGCAGCTCTTGTTTTCTCAGGATCTTCCCCTTCACATACAATTAACGCACCCACACGATGCTACTCTTAGAACCCTTCAAATAAATGTTCCCCGGTTCATTCACTACCAGAATCCAAGCTCAGCTTGTTCCCCAGCTTAGGACTGAGTGGTATCTTGGAGGTAGTTTCCACCATAGCCCCCTTCCTCTGCTATAAGGCTCAGTGACACACCAGAGACACCCCCTCCAGCCAGGCTCCTGGAAGGTCTGGATGAAGACTGGGATGCTGAGGCATTGCTCAGCAATGTGGCTTAACTCAAACTTCTATGTGAAACTTCCAACCACTTTCAGCAAGGGGTCACTTCCAGCGTCTTGGGGTGTGAGGGCACCTTGGTTGGTCCCTGCAATATCAGACCCTATAAAGATCCTACAAACATGTTGCAGACTCTTTGAAGATTCTGGCACTTTCAGACATGCTGTTGGGAAATGGTGACACCCATAACCTTCTAGTTCCAGGACAGGGAGCCTTAGCCCAGGGCTATGTTTTCTGAGGGTCCTCAAAGTAAACAGTTCTATGTGCCAGGAGAACCCTAAATCTCATATGGTTCTAAGGGCAGAAAGCCACACACGCACCGGCAAAAAGCAAGAGATTCAAGGAAAAGCTGAGCAAAGACAGACAGGAAAACACACACATGATGAGCCAGCTTGTAGAGCTAGAACTGAGATGGAGAGAGGCACGAGTGGGTAACAGAGTGTGCTCCCCAGAACAGGTGGAGAGAATGCCTTTTTCATGCCCTGAGGATAGGCTGGGTAAGGCTTGTGCTCGACAGTCAAGGACTATTTTTTTCCCCAGGCGTCTACAAGAGACCTTCCTTCTCAGCTCAACTGTGCCCTGCAGTAAGTAATGATGGAGAGAATGTGACTTTGCTCTGCAGCTCTGGAAGCTCATTTGACCTGTGCCTTCTAACGAGGAAGGTAAGGCCCCTGGACACTGGCTCACTGGGGTGCAGAGACAGAGTGGGGCATTCAGGCCAACTTCTCTCTGGGTCTTGGGGCTGGTGATGGGACCTCTAGATGCTGCAGCTCTCTGTCGATGGCTCTGCCTGTGAGTGATCAGCCCTAGATGACCACTGTTACTGGGGGTAGCCCATGCCTGCTGCATGCCCTGTGAAACACTAAATCATATAGCCACGTCTGAGGGACAGCCTGCTGGAGACATGGGAATCTTAGGGATTCCAGACAAAATGAAGCAATGAGAAACACAAAGAGGAAAAGAGAGGTTGAGTATGACAGTGGTGTCAGGGTGTAGGGTGGTAGACAGGGCAGCTCCACACTCTCCACTGCTTCCTGTCTGGAGGCCCACTTTGGGGTCCTACTTATCCAGGTGAGTGAAGGAAGAGGTCAGGACAAACACAGGAGGTGAAGCCAGATACAGTGTGGGGAGATAAGCAGTGGCCTCAGCCTCTAGCCCTTTTCCATCTTCCAGAAGCCCCTCCTGAGCTCTCATCACAGACAGATTTCCCATTTGGAAACCCAGATATTTATCATGCCGGGGGGGGGAGGCAATGTCTCTTGATTATGGGGACTTTCCATCACCAGGCACCTGCTAGTCCTCTCTATACCTTCCCTTCAGGAAAGGAATTGTCCCTCATGGGATTCCAGGGAAGAGACCCCAGGACCCCTATCAGTCACTAGGGAGATGACAGAGTAGAGGAAGTCAGGGGACCAACCCTCCACAGAGAATGGTCCTACTTCAGTGGGGTGAGGGAAACTCTCACTCATCCATTTGCTGTCCTGTTACCTCGGAACCCTAAGAGAACTTGTTAGTCACACACAGAATCTACCCCTGAATGTGGTGTGCAAAGTGGGGCTCTTAGCCTCCAGTGTGAAGTCCCTGGGAAGATGGAATGTCCCTGTGTGAGTGAAGGCTGTGCCACCGCCCAGCTATGTGGCCTTGGGCTAGGCAACCCCTCCCAGGTCCCCAGTTCCCCATCTGCATCGGAGACTGTGGCCAGTGCGGGAATCCACAAGGCCCTTCAGCCTCCAAAGCTCTGGGACAGAGGCCTCGTCCACAGGGAGGAAGGGGTCAGAGTGACCTGAGTCCCTACTCAGGAGCGAGTCTAATCCACTCTCCATCGGGGCCTGTGGGGAAGGGAAGATGAAGAAACGGAGCCTGCACCTGGCTATGTGGGCGCAGTAGATTAAGGGGAGGATGAGGGTTCCTGAGAGTGTGTCATGTGGCAGAGACCCTGCAGCACACTCAGGAAGGGCTCTGGAAGGATCCAAGGAAATTTTCCAAGAAGAGGGCAGAGTAAGTGACAGAGACCCTCAACCATGGATTTCACTGAGGTGCCCATGATGACATAGGGAGAACGGGGGTGTCTGGGCAGGAAGAATATCGTCAGGGTGAAATGAATGGTGATGAGCTTCGTGTCAGAGCTCCTATGGAGGGAGGGGCCTGGCCCACATGAAAAGGTCTCTGATCCTACCCCAGCCCCCAGCCCCTGTTCTCCAGGATGACACTGTGGGAATTCCATCAGGAGGGGTGTGATAGGGCTGGTCTTCCTGGCTCGATTCACAACACTGGCTGGGGACTGGGAACCCATGGGGAGCCACAGGTGGAAAGGGAGGAGCCTCAGTGAACCCAGCAGGAACAAACATAGGGTCTGACATGATGGAACTCACTTCCTGGAGGCCAAGAAAGACACTTGCAGGACAAAAGGGAAAGAGCGGTGGCTTGCTTAGTTCCATTCACTGACAACCCACAGGAGATGTCCAGTCCTTTTTTGATTTATTATTTTATTTTATTATATTTTATTTTATTTTATTTTATTTTCACATGGAGTTTTGCTCCTATTGGCCAGGCTGGAGTGCAATGGCACGATCTTGACTCACTGCAACCTCCACCTCTCAGGTTCAAGCGATTCTCCTGCCTCAGCCTCCTGCATAGCTGGGATTACAGGCGACTGCCACCACAGCCAGGTAATGTTTGTATTTTTAGTAGAGATGAGGTTTTGCCATCTTGGCCAGGCTGGTCTCAAACTCCTGATCTCATGTGATCCGCCTGTATCAGACTGCCAAAGTGTTGGGATTACAGGCGTGAGCCACCACACCCAGCCTTTTGTATTTTTAGTAGAGATGGGGTTTCACCATGTTGGTCAGGCTGGTCTTAAACTCCTGACCTCAGGTGATCCATCCACCTCGGCCACCCAAAGTGCTGGGAGTACAGATGTTAGCCACCGTACCCAGCGAGAGTTTCAGTGCTCTATCGGATTCCCTGCCTACTCCATGTTGCATGTAATGTTCCACCTCAGGGATGTTTCTCTCCTTTCTGTCTCTTTCCTCTTCTCCTTCTCCTTTTTTCTTTCTAATTTTTATTTTTTTGAGACAGAGCCTTGCTCTGTTACCCAGGCTAGAGTACAGTGGCACGATCCCAGCTCACTGCAACCTCTGCCTCCTGGGTTCAAGAGATTCTCCTGACTCAGCCTCTCGAGTAGCTGGGATTACAGGCACCCGCCATCACACCCAGCTAGTTTTTGTATTTTTAGTAGAGACGAGGTTTCACCATGTTGGCCAGACTGGTCTTGAACTCCTGCCCTCAGGTAATCCACCCGCCTGTGGCCCCCCAAAGTGCTGGGATTACAGGCGTGAGTCACCACTCCCAGCCCTGAATGATCTTTCCTCTTTAGTGTGTTCTCACAACCACCTCTCACTGAGCTTTCTTGTTTTTTGTTTTTGTTTTTGTTTTTGTTTTTGTTTTTGGCAGAGTCTGGCTTTGTTGCCTATGCTGGAGTGCAGTGGTGCAATCTCAGCTCACTGCAACCTCCGTCTCCTGGGTTCAAGCGATTCTCCCACCTCAGCCTCCTGAGTAGCTGGGATTACAGGCACCCACCACCACACCCAGCTAATTTTTGCATTTTTAGTAGACACAGGGTTTCACCATGTTGGTCAGGCTGGTCTCGAACTCCTGACCTTGTGATCTGCCAGCCTCAGCCTCCCAAAGTGCTGGAATTACAGGCATGAGCCACACTCCCAGCCCTGGATTATCTTTCCTCTTTAGTGTGTTCTCACAACTACCTCTCACTGCTGGGTTTTCTCTCTTTCTTTTCTTTTTTTTTTTTTTTTTTTTTTGAGACAGTCCGGCTTTGTTGCCCAGGCTGGAGTGCAGTGGCGCGATCTCGGCTCACTGCAAGCTCCACCTCCCAGGTTCAAGCGATTCTCCCACCTCAGCCTCCCTAGTAGCTGGGATTACAGGCGCATGCCAGCACACCCAGCTAGTTTTTGTATTTTTAGTAGAGACAGGGGTTTCACCATGTTGGTCAGGCTGGTCTTGAACTCCTGACCTTGTGATCTTCCTGCCTCGGCCTCCCAAAGTGCTGGGATTACAGGTGTAAGCCACTGCACCCAGCCAGCTTTCTCATTCTTATCCCTTAGTTCTCTGCCAGGGAATAAGATAGAAACCATTCCCTCAACCACATTCTAGTCATGGTCCCTATTCTCATGTTTCCACTTCTCTCTCTTTGGTAATAAATCAATTAATTGAGAAACAAGTAGCTAAATGTTCATCTTCTGCTAGTCTGCATCCCCTTATTTTCCCAGAGCCTCCCCTAATGAAACTGACTTTATTTACTGAACGCAGGAAATGGGTCTCTCCAGATCAGGATGACTTTCTGCTGGGAAATATTTGTCTTTGCATCAGTGGGGAAAAAGAAAGCCGATGTCATGAGTGGAGGCTCTGAGAAAATAAGGGCTGTGTTTTCAGTTTAGACCCAGCTAAGTTGGGAGCTGACATAGATATGATGTTGGGTCCACCCTCCACGGGCAGGTTTTCAGACAAAGGATCCCTGGCAATCAGGGGACACCTCAGGTCTGGGCTGAGATGTGTGCAGAGGGCCTGGGTCCTCCTGAGCCCCTGCACTGGGGGGGGAATAAGAGACAGGCCCAGCAAGGGGCTGTCCACTTCCTGTGGGTTCACAGCTGTGGGGACCCAGGCAGGCGGCAGCAGGCTCTGACTTAACCACATCCGTGCATCTGTCTGTCATGGAGGGCCATGTGGTCACCTGTCCCACAGCTGGAGCACGCAGAGCAGGCATCATGGTGTCCATCCTCACTGTTCTTCTGTGCCTCAGTCAGTGGTGGAGAGACGAGGGACAGGAGGGGCACTGGGCTGAGGTGGGGAGGGTCCCACAGCAGCCTTGTTCACCAGAGAGCCTCAGGGCTCCAGTGGCTACTGGTGCTCCAACAGGAAGGGAAGCAGCCACACCTCTGTGTTCCAAATCCCCCACAGGAAACTCTTCTCCATGGCTGAGTCTGGGCCAGAAAGCCCAAGCACTTGCAGGTGAGTCTCTGCTAACCTCCCATGCCTGACCTCACACTCAGCACCTGGACTCTCATCTCAGGGGCTTCTGAACTGAGGGTGAGAAAATCAAGAGGGTCTGTGACCTGAGCTGGGAATGAGGAGTGGGGGAGGTCTGTGGACCCCAGCCTGTGGTTTCTTCCAGGGACCCTCCCCAAACCCAGCCTCTGGGCTGAGCCAGGCTCTGTGATTACCTGGGAGAGCCCCATGACCCTCTGGTGCCAGGGGACCCTGGATACCCAGGGTTACTATCTCACCAAGGAAGGAAACCCCATGACCTGGTACCAACAGAGCCCACCAGAGCCCAGGAACAAGACCAACTTCTTCATCCCATCCATGAGAGAGCACCATGCAGGGAGATACCACTGTCACTATCTCAGCCCTGCAGGCTGGTCAGAGCGCAGCGAGCCCCTGGAGCTGGTGGTGACAGGTAAGAGGACACTCAGGGGTCCCAGCCCCAGGCTCTGCCTGCAGGAAGGGGGTCGGCTCTCAAGGGCATCTCCGTTCTAATAACTCAGCCCTGGGGGATGATGTGGGACGCGTGAGCCCCATTTAAGACAGTGTCTCCTTCTCTCCTAGGAGCCCACAGAAAACCCACTCTCTCAGCCCTGCCGAGCCCTGTGGTGACCTCAGGAGAGAACGTGACCATCCAGTGTAGCTCAAGGGTGGGATTTCACAGGTTCATTTTGATTGAGGAAGGAGAAAACAAGCTCTCCTGGATGCTGGACTCACAGGAACTCTCCAAGGGGCTGTCCCTTGTCCCTGGCCCTGTTCCCTGTGGGCCGTGTGGCTGCCAGTCACCGGTGGATGTTCAGATGCTATGGGCATTACACGAACTTCCCCTGGGTGTGGTCGGAACCCAGTGATACCATGGAGATCCTGGTCTTAGGTATGGATGTCTTCCTCCTTGCCCTATTTATTTTTGAGAACTTACTCTCACGGAGCCCCATGTAGGAGGGTGGAACAAGGGAAGTTTGGGACTCCTGAGCCCAGAGACACTGAGTATGAGAGACAGTGAGACCTGCAGGGCCAGGAGGGGAGAAGGAAGGGGTGTGGGAGGAACCAGCCCTCCTAGTCCCGACTCTTCTTTCCCTCCAGGCGTGTCTAGGAAGCCCTCCCTCCTGACCCTGCAGGGCCCTGTCGTGGCCCCTGGGGAGAATCTGACCCTCCAGTGTGGCTCTGATGTCGGCTATGACAAATTCACTCTGTACAAGGAGGGGGGACATGACCTCGTCCAGGGCTCTGGCCGGCAGCCCCAGGCTGGGCTCTCCCAGGCCAACTTCACCCTGGGCCCTGTGAGGGTCTCCCACGGGGGCCAGTACAGATGCTACGGTGCACACAACCTCTCCTCCGAGTGGTCGGCCCCCAGTGACCCCCTGAGCATCCTGATCGCAGGTGAGGAGCCCAGCAGGTTCAGTCAGGGACCCAGGCTCCGCACAGGCCCTGCTGGGGGAGCCCAGGTGGTGATGGCCAGGATGAGGGGTGGGGGTCCCAAGGGAGGGAGAGACAGACAGAGACAGGGGATGGGTGGGGAGGGGGAGACTCAGAGAAAACAGAGACAGAGACTGAGGGTCCCAGAGAGAGGCCTGGGGAGGTGTCAGCTCAGAACGAGGTGGGGCAGCCCCTCACCCATCCTTCTTCTCTCCAGGACAGATCCGTGGCAGACCCTCCCTCTCGGTGCAGCCGGGCCCCACGGTGGCCTCAGGAGAGAACGTGACCCTGCTGTGTCAGTCACGGGAGCAGTTGGACACTTTCCTTCTGACCAAGGAGGGGGCAGCCCATCACCCACTGCGTCTGAGATCAGAGCACCAAGCTCAGCAGCACCAGGCTGAATTCCCCATGAGTCCTGTGACCTCAGCCCACGCGGGGACCTACAGGTGCTACAGCTCACGCAGATTCTTCCCCTACCTGCTGTCTCACCCCAGTGACCCCCTGGAGCTCGTGGTCTCAGGTGAGGCCGCTGACCCTGTCCTCTCTGAGCTCAAACCTCAGCTCAGGCCCTGCCCCCAGGAGAGCTCAGGACGCTAAGGAAAGAGGGGAGTAAAGGGGGAGGGTCGGCAGGGGAGGGCCCAGCCCATGAGAGGGTGGAAATAGTCAGGGACCTCCTAATCCTGGGCTCCCACCCCAGAGACCTCAGATGGGGCTAAAGGCCAGGGAGGGCTGAAATGAGATATGGAGAAACCTTGGAGGAATCATGCTTAGGCTGAGGGTAGAAGATGGAGGCCCCACCCACTCCCCACCTGGGCTCCCCTGGCGGCCCCAAAATACTCAGTGCATACCTGAGACGAAGGGGAGATCATGCACCTGCTCACTGCAGCAATGCAGGCAAATTATTCAACAGCAAACCTCGTGTGCAATTCCTTTCTGTCCTTTATTTTTTATGTCCACATATCTAGTTTCTCTTTCTGTTTCTGAAGATTTCAAAGCAATGCTGGCATTTATAATTTACACATTTAATTTGTTAGGTAGCGTTATGATGTAAAATAACTGTGCTCTGATTTTCTTTGGGATTAAATTAAATATGTGCATTCATGATGGAGAATAACTTCTCATTAATAATGTCTTTTTATCCAATACATTTAAAATTAAACTTTATACAGTTAGCAGATGCTTGAAGTTGTATTCATAAAAATTGTGGACATTGTGAATTTTAAGCATTGTTTTACTACTTGAATAATTTGAAAGTCTTTGATTCCTTTCTATTTTCTAAAATTAGTTACGTATGGATGAGAAAGCTATTGGTTTGGGTATGCTAATTTTAGTTCCTATTAACTTACCACAGACACACTCCCTTTCAATCCTTTCCGAAATGATCTCTTCTGATTTATTGATAATAATTACATTAACCACAAGAAAATGGAGGACAAACTTGTTTGTTTCTAAATTATATAATACTCTTCTCACTTCAAATATATATGTATGTGTTTATATATACTCACACACTATTATATATCTTATAATATATATTATGTATTATATATTTATATATACACTATTATATATCTTATATATTATGTATTATATATTTATATATACCCACACATTATTATATCTTATAATATATATTATGTATTATATATTTATATATACCCACACATTATTATATCTTATAATATATATTATGTATTATATATTTATATATGCACTATTATATATCTTATATATTATGTATTATATATTTATATTACCCACACATTATTATATCTTATAATATATATTATGTATTATATATTTATATATACACACACTATTATATATCTTATTATATATTATGTACTATATATTTATATATACTATTATATATCTTATAATATATAATGTATTATATATTTATATATACACACACTATTATATATCTTATATATTATGTATTATATATTTATATATACATACTATTATATATCTTATAATATATTATGTATTATATATTTATATATACACTATTATATATCTTATTATATATTATATATTTATATATGCACACACTATTACATATCTTATTATATATTTATATGTATACACACACTATTATATATCTTATTATATATTATGTACTATATATTTATATATACTATTATATATCTTATAATATATAATGTATTATATATTTATATATACACACACTATTATATATCTTATATATTATGTATTATATATTTATATATACACACACTATTATATATCTTATATATTATGTATTATATATTTATATATACATACTATTATATATCTTATAATATATTATGTATTATATATTTATATATACACACTATTATATATCTTATTATATATTATATATTTATATATGCACACACTATTACATATCTTATTATATATTTATATGTATACACACACTATTATATATCTTATATATTATATATTTATATATACTCACACTATATCTTATAATACATATTATGCATACACATATGCATAATACATATTATCTATACACATATGCATAATACATATTATGTATACACATATGCATAACACATATTATGTATACACACATATTTACACCTATGCATATATGTATGTATGTATGCGAATGTACCTCTGCCACAGCAGGGAAAGGTTCTATCACACAACTACAGAACAGTTAGGAGAAGTGTAGACACAAAGGAATGCAGCAACTGAGGGACATGTTGGCTTAAGTCTCTTCAACTCCTCACACACCTCCCCCTTTTTTGGTTGATTCTCAGGAGCAGCTGAGACCCTCAGCCCATCGCAAAACAAGACAGACTCCAAGACTGGTGTGTAAGGAGATGCTCTCGGTTATGGGGCTGGCACAGAGGGTCAGGTCCTGTGAAGGGGAGGTGGGTGCCCTGGGTGGACATCCAGGGGTCCAGGGTGATGTTGATCTGCCCTGACCTCTGAGACCTCTTGGTCCACCATCCCCAGCCTCACACCCCCAGGATTACACAGTGGAGAATCTCATCCGCGTGGCTGTGGCTGGCTTGGTCCTGGTGGTCCTCGGGATTCTGCTGCTTTAGGATTGGCACAGCTAGAGAAGTCCCCAAGATGCAGCAAGGAGGTAAATACATGAGAGAACAATGCACCCTTCAGAGTGCCAGAGCCTTGGCAATGAGTCTGATAGTCCTAGGAGGTTCTGGAAGAAAGTCTGGACCATCATTCGGGAAACCGTCTACTGAGAAAGTCGAGAAGGGGAGGCTTGGGTCAGGTTCAGGAAGATGTCTGGGTGCCTGTAGAGAACGCTTCCTCCATTAAACTTCCATTAAATGGCAGTGCTTTCAGTCCAGCTGTTGTGGACCCTCCGTGTCTGCCCCTCCCTTCCTTTCGCTCTCTGTGATGTGAAGGCACGTCCCCCATGGTGGGTTTGCATCCACACCCCTGCGATCACGTGCTCTGGTCCACTGTCCTGTAATACATTTGTCTTTGTTTCCAACTACCGCATTCTCTAAAGTGAACTATTGATTCTCCATCTTTTCAGTTCTGAGCATAGATCTGGATTAAATAACTGGAATAGGTGGGCAGATTTGTATTTGGGACTTTGAAACATGAGTCTGAGGCCAGGCACAGTGGCTCACACCTGTAATCCCAGCACTTTGGGAGGCTGAGGTGGGCGGATCACTTGAGGTCAGAAGTTCGAGACCAACCTGGCCAACATGGTGAAACCCTGTCTCTACTAAAAGATACAAAAATTAGCTGGGTGTGGCAGTGAGCACCTGTAATCCCAGCTGCTCAGGAAGCTGAGGTGGGAGAATAGCTTGAACCCGGGAGGCGGAGGTTGCAGTGAGCCAAGATCTTGCCACTGCACTCCAGCCTGGGCAACAGAGCAAGACTCTATCTCCAAAAAAAAAAAAAAAAAGGGAAATATGAGTCTGAAATGATGCCCTAGCACCCTCTCTGGACCCTGAATTCCCTTCACTCTTCATCGGATGATACCTGTGTACTTCGTCCAGAAATATCATCTCTCAGAATGAGCACACTAACGCTCGAAGGCTCAGCCTCATGGTATTCTGTTAAACTGGCTCTCTGAAAAAATTATTTTCTTAAGAAAACTCTGAACATATAAAGCCCCAGATTTATGGTATTTGCTGATTAGTGTGGTATAAATACGTCCTTTATGGCCAACTTCAGGGTGCCCATATGACGCCATTGAATGCACAGTTGGGAAGTAGTCAAAAGAATTGTCGTTCACACGAGTATGAACCAGTTGTAAAGTTTATTTAAAGGTTATAATAATTTCTGCTTCATTCTTATGGTGTAGTTTCAGTAAAATTGTAATGTCAAAAATCATAGCACAATGGAGGGAAAAGAAAAAAATAGGCCGGGTGTGGTGGCTCATGCCTGTAATCCCAACACTTTGGGAGGCCGAGGCAGGAGGATCACCTGAGGTCAGGAGTTCGAGACCAGCCTGGCCAACATGGTGAAACCCTGTCTCTACTAAAAATACAAAAATTAGCCAGACATGGTGGCGCCTGCCTGTTAATCCCAGCTACTTGGGAGGCCAAGGCACGAGAATCGCATGAACCCAGGAGGCGGAGGTTGCAGTGAGCCGAGATCACTACAGCCTGGGTGATAGAGCAAGACTCAGTCTCAATAAAAGAAAAAAGTAGCAAAATCATTTTTTGGAAAGAATATTGAACATGTAGAATTTTAGTACATTAATAGTAAGAGTACAAATTGCTTTAATCAATTAAGGAAGTGTATTGGAATTATCTAGTTAAAAAGAGGAGGCACACGGCTGTGACCCTTCTTAATTATGTACTTAATTATGTACCCTAGAGATAAATGTCTACTTATGTGTCATGATACACTCACAACTGTTATAGGAATGCTGTTCCTATTAGCCAAAGCTATAAAATACCAAAGTCCACCTACGAAAAAAATAAACATAGTGTGGTAAATAGACTCAGTGGAATATTACAAGGTAGTAAAATGCATAAATGAAAATAACAAACAGCACCATACTTCAATTTTCAAGCATAAAGTCAAGTAAATGAAGTATTATTTGAAAATGTGTGCATGGTTATTTCATTACATAAAGGTCAAAAGGAGGGTACATTTATTATTTAGGAAAACACACCTAAGATATCTTTGTAAAATCTGTAAAATCAATAGTACTGTTTCCCCTCTTTCATTCCTTATCTTGAAAATGCTTGTCTCTTTTTCTGCCATGGCTTTCTACCTTGCTTGATATATTACAATTTTGTAACCTGCTTATTTCATCATATGTCATAAGTTCACATGTATATCCCATGAATTATTGAGGGTCTTATTCATTTCAAGTGGCATTTAGGTTTTTAAAAATATCTTTTGGCGACCAGGTGCAGTGGCTCATGCCTGTAATCCCAGCACTTTGGGAAGCCAAGGCAGGTGGATCACGAGTTCAAGAGACAGAGATCATCCTGGCAAACATGGTGAAACCCCGTCTCTACTAAAAATACAAAAAAAAAAAAAATTAGCTGGGCATGGTAGAGGGTGCCTGTAGTCCCAGCTTCTCAGGAGGCTGAGGCGGGAGAATGGCGTGAACCCGAGAGACGGAGGTTGCAGTGAGCCGAGATCGTGCCACTGCACTCCAGCCTGGCAACAGAGTGAGACTCTGTCTCAAAAAAAAAAAAAAAGAAAGAAAGAAAGGAAGAAAAAAAAATCTTCTGGCATTAACTATTAAGAAATTGCACTATAAAAAGAGAATATAATGCATAAGACGGCAATTTGAAAAGATTCAGATATAATTTTTTCTTATCTAGTAAATACTTAGTAATTTGTCTAATGCATGCCTTAAATACATACCACTTTATGCAGAGGTTGCCATGAGCCGAGATCGCGCCGTTGCACTCTAGCCTGGGTGGCAGAGCAAGACTCCATCTCAAAAAAAAAAAAGAAAATCTCACAGAAGGAGACCCAGAGCTTCCAGCCTCGCCCAGAGTCTTGGCTCACTCCCTGTGTGTGTGGACCCTAGGGAGCCTCTTCTGTTCCCCACAGAGGTGGAAACTTCCTCCTTAATAACCCCTTGATGGTCCCAGGCACTGGTGACCACTGAGCTTTGCTCTCTCTTTTTTCTTATGGTTCCCTGTCTACTTCCAGGGCTATCACTTTACTTTTTGTGCATTAGACCATGAATAATGTTTTAGAAACATTCTATCAAATTTCTCAGTGCTAGGAACAACTGAGGTTTTTGATTGGGTGCCTCAAATGTCTACCCTTACTGTGGAGTCCAACAACAGGATTCTAACAAGTCCCAACCCCTTCATGCCTTAACCTGGTCTGGAAATAAATTATGTTTAAGCCATCCCATACCCCAGCCACATCAAGCCCCACAACCACTCTGAGAAGTGAGATTTATAGCAAAATGCTCCAAACAAGGTAACTAAGGTTCAGACAAGGGATGTTAATGTGTCCATTTACATAAACAAAAAATGGTAGATGATCAGCTTTCCCTTTGAAATCAGAGTACTAATCTGACTCATTGTTCCCTGAATTTTAGAGGCAGGACCTCAGGAGGAGCTAAGAATCCTACCCCAGGAAAATTACCAATATCAGAAAGGAAACAATGACATCAGTACAGATCCTACAGAATTCAAAAGATTCTAAGTGGACATTATGAAGACATTATTCAGCTTAGATGAAGTGGTCACATATCACAAGAAAACAAACTGTCTAAAACAATCTCTGAAATACCTAGACATTCCCTGAATCATTGAGTTATTAAATAAAATACATTTTAAAATTAAACTCTTTTCAGGAAATAAACTTCAATGTCCCCTAGTGCACTCTCCAAAACATGTAGATAGGAATAAATACTGTTCTGAAAGACATTTCCCTGGAATTACAACCATTCAATATATTTTAAAAGGCAATCATAAAAATATAAAAAGGATATATCAGGAGAAGAAATGTAAATGGCCTAAATTCCCCACATAAAAGGCATAGAGTGGCAACGTGGATAAAAAGCCAAGAGCCAACTGCCTGCTGTCTTCAAGAGACCCATCTCACATGTAATGACACCCACAGGCTCAAAGTAAAAGGATGAAGAAATATTTACTAGGCAACCAGGAAACAAAAAAAAGGAAGGCATTCCTATTCTTATATCACATGAAACACACTTTAAATCAACAGCAATCAGGAAGGACAAAGAAGGGCATTACAAAATGATAAAGGGTTCAATTTGACAGAAGACTTAACTATTCTAAATATATATGCACCCAAATTTGGAGCACTCCGATTCATAAAACAAGTTATTCTTCACCTATGAAAAGAGTTAGACAGCCACACAATAATAGTAAGGGACTTCAGTATCCCACTAACAACGTCAGATGAATCACTAAAACAGAAAACTAACAAAGAAATTCTGGTCTTAAAGACAACACTTGACCAATTGGACCTCATAGACATCTACAGAGTACTCCACCCAACAACTGCAGAATATAGATTCTTCTTATCTGCACACACAAAAAACATATCATATTCTAAGACTGGCCACAAAGCAAGTCTCAATAAATTCAAAGAATCAAAATCATAACAAGGCACACAATAAAAATAGAAAAAAATACCAAGATGATCTCTCAAAACTACAGAAAAACATGGAAATTTAACAACTTGTTTCTGAATGAATATTAAGAGCCATCTATGACAAATCCACAGCCAACATCATATTGAATGGTCAAAAGCTGGAACTGTACCCCTTGAGAACTCTTGGGTGAACAATGAAATTAAAGCAGAAATCACAAAACATTATTTAAAATTAATAAAAATAGAAACAAACTTACCAAAACCTTTGGGATGCAGTTAAAGCAGTGATAAGAGGAAAATTTATAGCAATACATGCCTCATCAGAAGTTTAGAAAGATCTCAAATTAGTGACTTAACACTGCATCTAGAGGAACTATTAAAAAAAAGGAACAGTCCAAACCCAAGGCCAGCAAAAGATGAGAAATAACTAAAGTCAGAGAGAACTGAATAAATTGAGACCAAAAAGTCCATACAAGAGATAAATAAAACCAAGAGTTTTTCTTTGAAAAAAAATAAACAAAATTCATAGACTGTTAGCTAGATTAACAAAGAAAAAGAGAAAAGATCCAAATAAACACAAATAGAACTGACAAAACAATGTTACGAACAATCCCACAGAAATAGAAAAGATCGTCAAAGACTATTATGAACACCTCTATACAAACAAGCTA